>NC_000013.11:89889342-90192372 GCF_000001405.40 Homo sapiens
CTCCCGTTATATATAGCACTTCTGCTGATCTAGGTACCCTGTCTGTTGGGATAAAGCAGACTTTCATTTCTGAATTGTCTGTATCCCTGGTTTAACATGCACATACCCAGCTGTGGTTGCTATATTTGTTCATTTATAATTAAAACTGAACCTGGAAGTACAAAAAGATACACCTTAGCACATGAAACTAAGTTCCAGGCATACTCCCTTCCTATGCCATTGCAACAGCACTAACTTCTCATAAATGTATTTCCAATAATTCTGCCAGCTTGATATTTCTTTCATGCCTGTTGATCTACTGACTCAAAAAGCATCAAATAACCAAGTGAAAGCTGGGGTTTTAAGTTTGGAGGTACAATTAATGTGTTTTTTGGTGGTGTCTCTGCTCAGAAAACCAGGATTTCTAATCTCACAGAGCCAAAATGTTTGGGGATGGATTGTACAAAGTTACCATATGAGTCACAAGGAGTTCTGATAGATAGTGTCATTCCTATTTATATTCCTTAGTTCCCAGATCCATTCTACATATTGCACACACAGTACCAGATAATGAGTGGGCTTTAGTTTAAAATATAAAAGTATTCTGAAGGGTCGCTCACCATCTGATATGGTTTGGATATTTATCCCAACCTCATGTTGAAATGTAACCCCCAGTGACGGAGGTGTGGCCTGGTGTAAGGTGTTTGGATCATTGAGGCGGGTCTCTCATGGCTTGGAGCTGTCTTCAGGATAGTAAGTGATTTCACAGAAAATTTGATTGTGTAAAAGTGTAGTGATACCTCCCCCCTACTCTGTCTTCCTCTTGCTTCTGCCATGTGACATGTCTGCTTCCACTTTTTTTTTCCATCATGATTGAAAGCTCCCTGAGGCCTCCCTGGAAGCTGAGCACATGCCAGCATAGTACTTGTATAGCCTGCAGAACTGTGAGCCAATTAAACCTCTTTACTTTATAAATTACCTAGGCTCAGGTTCAGATATTTTCTTACAGAAATGCAAGAATGGCGTAATACATCATTCATTTTTTTTTTTTTTTTTTTGAGACGGAGTCTTGCTCTGTCACCAGGCTGGAGTGCAGTGGCATGATCTTGGCTCACTGCAACTTCTGTCTCCTGGGTTCAAGCGATTCTCCTATCTTAGCCTCCTTAGTAGCTGGGACTACAGGTGTGTGCCAACATGCCTAGCTAATTTTTGTATTTTTAGTAGAGAACGGGTTTCACGATGTAAAACATCATTCTTAAAGGGTATCATCTTCAAGCTGTCACATGATCTGTGTCATTAGGCATATATATTTGAAGGGAAAGAAATCAGTATGTTGAAGAGATGCCTGCACTCTCATGTTCATTGTAGTATTATTCACAATAACCAAGGTATGGAATCACACTAAGCGTCCATCAACAGACAAATGTATAAAGAAATTTTGTACATAATGGAACGCTTTTCACCTATAAAAAAAGGAATGAAATTATGTCATTTGCAGCAACATGCAAGAGCCTGGAGGACATTATGGTAGGTGAAATAAACCAGGCACAGAAAAAAAAAAATACCACATGATATTGGGGAAGCTAAAAAAGTTGATGCCATGTAAGTAGAGAGTTTTGGGGGATTAGGGAGTTGGGGATAGGGAAAGGTTTTCTAATGGATACAAAATTACAGCTAGATAGGAAGAATAACTTGTAGTGTTTTAAAACACTGTAGGGTAACTTTAGTTAAGAATAATTTATGGTATATTTCAAATAGCTATGAGATAAAATTTTGAATATTCTCAACACAAAGAAATTACAAATGTTTGAGGTGATGAGTAAGCTATTTGCCCTGATTTGATCATTACATACTGTATAAGTGAATTGAAATATCACTCTGTACCCCGTAAATATGTACAAGTATAATGTTATGCTTATACTTGTATGCATTATACAAGTATAATGTTATGCCAATTAAAAACAATAATAATTTTAAAGCAGAGAAAATACCAAGTATAGCTGAGGATGTAGAGAACACTGGTGAATGCTGAAGTTAATATACAATGGTGCAATGTTTATGAAAAACATGGCAGTTCCTCAAAAAATGAAACACAGACTTAACATATGATTTAGATTTTCACTTCTGGAAATATACACCCAAAAGAAAATAGAAACTCAAAAAGATAGTGTTAGTGTAACCATTTTCATAGCAACTTTATTTAAAATAGCTAAATGTTGGAAGCAACCCAAATGCCCATTGACACAGTTGAATGGTAAACAAAATGTGACCTGTACATACAATGGAATATTATTCAACTTTAAAAAGGAAGGAAACTCTGACGCATGGTACAATATGGCGCAACACTGAAAACATTATCCCAACTGAAATAAGCCAATCACAAACAGATAAATATGGTATAATTCCACTTATATGAGATACCTAGTATAGTCTAATTTGTGATGACAGAAAATAGAATGGTTGTTGCTAAGACAGGGAGAAGGGGCAATGGGGAATTATTGTTTAATGGGGATCCAGTTCCAGCTTGGAAAGATACTAAAGTTCTAGAGCTGGATGGTAATAATGGTTGCATAACAATGTGAATATACTTGATCCCACTGAATTTAACAAATAAAAATTGTTAATATGGTAAAAAAAATCGTTTCACTATCTGGATGTCAGTCAGAGATGGCCAATGCACCTGATGGTCATGTGACTACTGTCTCACGTCCTCTTCTGCAAAATTATTATCTTGGCATGATTGTTTTTCAATTAACTGCACACTCCTTTAGTGCTTAGATAGTGTGCTATGGGAAGTCCTGAGGGGGGAGAAAACATATAGCCAGGATATGCACGAATCTCATAGATATTCACAGAATGAATAGCTCCCCATTCCAGAATTGAAGAGATCTGATACAATCAACCTACCACTCCATGGCTACCGAGCATCCTGAAGGGTGAGGCTATTTTGTGGGCTCACCAACAGCCTTTATTGCTTGTAGGTAGTACATTCTTCAGCAGTCATCACTAGAGCAACGTTGGAAAGCAGGATCTCATACCTTAGTCCCATGCAGAGCTTCCATTTCTGCTACTCAATTTACTTTGTACATAGGCCTACCACACAAAATGACCAAGGAAAAAGGCATGCTGACATCAACTGATCAAGTCACCATTGGGTATCTCATGTCTTTTTCTTAGTGTTCTCTTGTGTGTGCTGGTGAATACTATAAACTTTTCACACCCTGGTCAATACATGTGCCTCTAGACTACATATCCCTAACCATCCAATCAGCTAAGCAATTTCCTGCCATTCGTAATTCCATATCTATTCTTACTGGGGACCACTTCTCTCTTCCCACAAGGTAGACTACAGAGTGCACTACCTAAAATAAATTTAGAGTCATCTTTGGGTGAGGGGATAAGGATACAGCTGCCCATTTGTGGCATGCACAGCATATTAAGCTGTCTCATCTCTGAACTCAGCTCTGATTCCTTTGCTTTAACTAACTTGGTCATTAGGATCCTCTGTGAGGCCACAGATAAGAGCTGAAGAAGAGGTGTCAGTATAGCAGAGATTGGTCGCACAGGATAGGGGGCTAGGTCACTTAACACAGCTTATGTATGCCCTCTGTCCAATGCAGGAAAACTAACTTCCATGTTATGAAAGATTGTTTTCTGAGCTTGTGAGTTGGTGGGTTTGACAGCAGCCAGCATATGATGGGCAGGTCTGGCTGCATGGTCATGTGACGTGTCACGGTCAGATATTCTGCATCCTCCAAGGGACTAGTAGCATGTCAAGAGCTATTATATTTTTTACCCTGGAAATCTAGAGGTCTGTAATATGGTTTTTCTTTTGCACTTGACAGAAATTTCAGATGACACTCTTCTACAGTAGATACCTATCATAGTTTGGGTCTGCCAGATCACATAGCCTAAACTGCTGAGCTGCCTGCATAATCGGCTAGACCTGCTGCAGAGCCATTTCTTACTCTGAACTCAGTTCAAAATTACCCACCTTCTGCACACCTATTAAGTAGGTAAGAACAGTATTCTCAAAAGTATCATATTCTAAATCCTAATGGTAAGAAGATCTACCAACCGCTCAGCTTCTTTCTTAGAGACTGACAAGGATTGCAAGGTACTACAGACTTTTTTTTTTTTTACTTTAAAGGGGATGTCCTGGAATGTCCTCGACAATTCAGCTCCTAAAATCTTAACTCAAGTGGCAGGCCTTTGAATCTTTGGAAGGGTTATATCCATCATCTAGAGAAGATGTATCTTCCCAGGACATCCAGATTAGATGCCATTTTATTCTCATCAGATTTAATTATCGTGATGGCATTGATAGAGTGGCTCTATGACATGTTCATAGGAATGCCAGATGGGTCTAGATTCTGTCATACTATATTGTAACAGAGTGAAAAATAATGAACTTAGCATTGGGGCAAGACCATATAGTTGTCTGTACAATGTGAATGCTATCCTATATAATTTTCCACACTGATGGGTATGGAAATTACATTTGTCCAGAGAAAGTTTTATTCTAGTGGCCAAGATTGTGTTGGTTGGCTCTAGCAAAAATTCCTTATCCAGCACAGCAGCTGCAATTGGGACTACTATTTGATTATGCTTGTGGTATCCCACTTTCATCTGTCATTGTCCATCTGGTTTTTGCAAGTGCCAAACTGATGAGCAAAATGAGAATATGAGAAGACAAGATTCATGCATCTTTTAGGACTTTTTGGGAGAACCTAATTTATGTTACTCCCCTAGAATGCAATTATTTTTATTTTACTCATAGTGAAGACAGTAAGTCAGTTTTAAGGTACTTTATTTAGCTTTTTCTATTACAATAGATCTAACTCTTCAGGTAAGGAAAGAAACCTGAGTCATTTTCCAATTTCTAGGTAAATGCAATCTAATTATATATTCAGCAGATTACTACCAGGTAGGTCCATGGTTCTAGTGGACTCACTGTGACAGGGGCCTGCATAAAGACTCCTTTAATACCTGACTCCCATATATCCTTAGTCCATTAGGGGAACTATGCTAGCACTTTGGATTCCTAGATATTTGTATCAACTCTACCCTTGTAATCAAGGATTCTCAAAAGATCTGGAAAGTTCCTTTTCCTCAGTGTATAGTTACCTAATAATATAGTTTTGGGTCCATTTTCAGCAGTTCTTGCATCTCTACTACATTTGGAGAGTTATTGGAATAATCAATACTGCATGCACTTACTAGAGTGTTTAAAGGATGTTTCTTCATTAGAACCCAATCTTTTCTTGGACTAGTTCACTCTTTCAGTCAATAGGTCTGAAAACTGGAGAAAGGATTAAGACTACCATTGTAGCAATTGAGTGCAGTCTTACTCTCATTCATTATTAACCACTTGTGATTACACATAAACAATACTGTTATTGCTTACTTATTTATATTGCTTACTGGAACACCAAATTATACTATCCATCTCTGTAGATTCTAGCAAGTCAAAAGCCCCAGCTCTCATTCTGAACCTGTTGCTCATTATGGAAATTATACCCACCTTATTTCTATTTGTAAATGCTGCCACCCGGCCTTTGCATTGCTACATCTGATCATACCATTTGCTACCAGGATGACTAATTCTGTAGTAGCATCTCCTACCATTAGTTCTGGTCTACCAAGTAATAGGCATGACAAGCCTACTCAAGGAAGCTTATGCTTCTCTCGCCACTGTGTTTGTTTTTACCTTAGGTAAAGAACACCTAAGGCTTTCCTGATATCCCTTTAACTGTTCATAAATACAATTTGCTAGCATAAAAGATTTTATCTCGGCCAAGCATGGTTACTCACGCCTGTAATCCCAGCACTTGGGAGACCAAGGCGGGTATATCACCTGAGGTCAAGAGTTCGAGACCAGCCTGGCCAACATGGCAAAACCGTGTCTCTATTAAAAAATACCAAAAATATTAGCTGGGCATGGTGGTGCATGCCTGTAGTCACAGCTACTCAGGAGGTTGAGGCAGGAGAATCGCTTGAACCTGGCAAGTGGAGGTGGCAGTGAGCTGAGATTTTACCACTGCACTCCAGCGTGGGTGACAGAGTGAGACTCCAACTCAAAAATATAAAATAAAATAATCTCAGCAAAGTTGGAAGCTTTTCCTTACAGAGTAGCCCCATGATAGCAGTAAAAAAATGATAGCCTTTTGTGCTCTTCAATAGTCTTTCATGACAGTTCTCATAACTCTACTTCTTTAATGTGAGCCATTGCTTTTCTCAAACTTCTCAGAGTCACTCCACCTGTAATAGAACACACCCTGGGATTCTTGTCAGGATGTTAAACCCTTTGTCATGGCAGAGTGACTCTATATTAACAAACATTCTCTTATTCACCTTTACGTTTTACTTCCTTAGGAGGCATACCTAGTTCTACTCTCTCAGGTACATGATAGCCAGGTCTTACAGCTTCTTCAGTATATGATCCTTCTCTTTCTTTAGCAAACCCAGAACTTGCCTAGTAAAATCATGTAGAGATTTAACCCTAGTTATTGGTCTAAGAAAGAAGAGATGAAGGCAGATTCCAAGGAAGGAAGCATTATCTTACAAGATACCTTCTTACTGGACATTTGTATAGTTCTTAAGCAAGGCAAGTTTCTACCTTTGAACTGAGGAAGGGAAACAGTTAAGTGAATTGTTCCATCCACTGATATTACGCAAATGTATCTAAACTTGATTTAATATTTATGATTTTGTTAATACCCTAATCTTGTCATTTTCTCTCTTTAAATGTTAGAGATATGGTTTGAGACAGGGCATTCTTTTCTACCTGTGTTACATTCCAGATTAACACAGGTAAAGGCTTAGCAGCTACATTCCATAATGAGCAATGAGTAGAAATGGGGTTCATCAGCCAGTAAGTAACCCAACTCTAGAAGCTCATCCATAGAGCTTACTTTGGAGGACCAATTTTGTTTTTCCTTCCTTTATCCAGCACTCTTCGAATCCACTCCTGTCCTACCCTCCCAGTTCCTGCCTTTACAAGTTGACCAGTTTTTGCAGCTCCTTTGCCATGTAATCTATTTCCTTAATCTTGCTCAGTTGCTTCCTATAGTTATATAACCCTAGATATTGGTGTGGTAGAGGGAAGGGAAGAGTACCAAATGTCTTAGTTTGGGTTTCCAAGAAACAGAGGTTGAGAAAAGTATTCAAGTGCCTGTCACTTTATAATAAAGTGTGCTTCAGAAAAACCTGCAACCGAGGAAATGAAAAAAAAGTAGAGAAGGGAAAAGAGCTTGGCAAGGATTCAGTTTCAGGTAAAGCCTTGCTAGAGTTGCCTCTACCTGAGCAAGGAAATCTAGGCTCTTGTATGTCCATATTAGTGAGCCATTTAGCTATCACTCATCCCAGGAGTGGGGGTTGGGTAAACAAAATTTCCCAGACTAAAGTGGCTCTCATTACTTGTGGCTAACTCTTTAATGAAGCTAGGATAGGTTTGGAAGAGGAGGAGGAGCTGGATATGATACTCATTTCTTACAGCTTCTGGGAGTTGGATGCACTTATCCTTTAAAAAAGATCCTTAAAAGTAACATATTTTAAACATGTAATTCTATTTTTTTCTACTTATATTATCTAGCAATGTAAATCAGAAAACTGCTTTACTTCTTTTTAGCTCTTGTATCTAGAAATTAGGGGAACTGACTGAATGTTAACTAGGGCTTATTGACATCTAACATTCTTTTTCTCAATATGGAGAAAAAAGTACCTTACTTAAGTCTTCTTTTAATGAACTTATAAGATAATGATTTGAAAGATAGCATTTAATCTATAAAGTTATATACATATGCAAAATATTTCTAAATACATAATCATTAATTGACAAAAATATCCATTATCAATTTATGCTAATAAATAATACATAAAAATATAAAGTTGCAACTGTATTACATAGGTCTGCATCTAGGCATATTACATGGAGGATTATAATAGAGGATGCATATGTTAATTACAGCAAGATTTCTCAACCTCAGCACTAGTAATATTTTGGGCCAGATAATTCTTTGTTGTAAAGAGTTGTCCTGTGCTTTGTTGGATGTTCAGCAACATCCTTAGTCTTTACCTACTTGATACTCCCAGTTGAAAATTGTTGGTTTAGAACAAAAGCATAGCAACATATGTCACCTGCTTCTGCAACAGACTACTTGGGTAGTCAAAAGAGAGTCCAGACTTCTGTATGAGACAATACTAAGGAGTTCTGAATAAAATGAAAATGTTTCCTTTTTAAATTATTTGAAATCCAAATTATTACCTGTTCTTAGTTTCCATGGGAAGCCTAACTAAGATATATATTAATATGCATTTTTAATTGAGAATTTCTCTGGCTTTGAGCTAAAGTAGATATACCAAAGAGATTGGCACTGAGATTTCAGAAAATGTGTAATTCACAATGTCTGTATTGTATTACTCAGGGTGGAGTGCAGAAGCAGAAGGCCCGAATGATTCAACAGGTCACCCAAGTAATGTGGAGAAATGCAGTGGTAGACTGATAGCCTAGGGATGGCAGAGCTAGATGTGCTCTAGGAACTAGCAAAAAAGAGGAAGTATGCCATATTCTGAATAATACTGAAATTCTCATCTATTGTGTTCTACCTTTCTTTGAAAGCCTACTACTTAGAACAGGCTAAAGGTGGTGCAGTTCTAATGAGCTAGAATTTGTTAATTAAGTGGGGAGTTTTTCAACACCAACTCTCCAATATGGCCATTGAAAGGATGGAAGCATCTGAGCTATGGAGAAAAGTCACTGCAACATACAGACTTTGCAGAGCAGCAAAATCAAAAGTAATCCAAGCAGCTTATTCAGAATCAGAAAAGACAGGAGAATTAGGCACCTCAATGAGCTGACTCAGAAACAGGCACAAATCATAACTCTTTTTCTCTAAATATTCTAGGAAAAGAAGAATCCTTGAAAGTCTATGATTTCTTATACCTAAGGGAATGTGTATCAGGAGAGAGGTGATGGTGGTGGTTAACAGGAGACAGATGCTGAGATTAAAGCAGTTTTCCTTGAAATCCATTATCAGCAGATACGAAAATACCAATTTTAAGATTGCCTGTTTCATTTTGGGGCCAGTCCTCCTCTTTAGTCAAACTTTGTACCCCTGGGCTGTATGTTATGACAGTTGTCACACCCACCACTGATCCAAACAAAGAATGTCTGGAAGAGTTCAATTTAATTCTGTAATTGCAACAGAAAGAAACAGATGAAAAACATAGAAAATGCTTGGTTGCCATTTGCCAATTTAGGCAACTGCTCTGATATAATATCTACTGTTCAAGCAAATACTAATCACCTACATATCTGAGTACTAACTTAAATGTACTTTTAAGTTTCTGATAAAACTCTTATGAGCACATGTCACATTCTTCTGCTTGACTTTATGTCACATCTCTTCCTTTCCCATTATATTTTGACTCAGACCCATTCTTCTCCCTCAAGGCAGAGATCAGCCTGACCTATTTTATTTAATTGCCATTTGGATTTCAGGGGATTTTTCATTTTGAAAAGTAGGATTTTTCTAACTGAAGGTATTTCAGTTAAATGTACTTTGAAAATTAAACAATTGAGGTGAACTAGTTATATAATGAGTTCCAGTAAACAAATTCAAATATGAAAAACAAGCAAAAGTAAAAAAGAATTTTCATCATGTGTCACAATCTAAGCAGATTCAATAAAGCTAATTAAAAATCTTTCTCATTTTCACAGTGGGTAATAGTTTCAATCAAGACTCTAATAACTTTCAAAAAATTATTAAACTATAAATGTGTTTTTATACCAAGTATCAATTTTCAGGTTGATTTAGCTACAAAAGTGTATGATTTTAAAGTAAAAAGTTATTTGCTCATCAAATGAGTCATAGTAGAGGCATTAACACACTGCCTCTTTTAGATTAAAGTATATTCAAATATTATAGTTTTAGATTATAGTATATAATCTATATATAAAAGTATATATAGATATGCATTTAGATTAAAATATACTCATATTATAGTTTTGAGGAGAATTTTGAATACCTATATAGGATGCTAAATTAGATGTGTTTTATTTTTGTTGTAGGGATATCAGATTCTTGCATGTGTTACATTGTATGCCACTACCACGTCATTGCCACTGTGCATTGAACATGAAGCCAGGTAAACATTGAGAGGAGGAAACCTATAAGCACTTGCTCTCTGAGTTATGTTGATTTAGCCTTCATTGCTCTCAAATCCTCATTTTAGAACAAAGCTTCCTTGTTCATTAATTGTGAGCAGAGCTTCCCAGTGCTTCCTCTGAGTAGGTTGTTTTTACTCTGTGCTTCAGTTTCTAACCTCTGATAATCCAGCCTTTGGTGATATTATGAAGGTTTAATAGTAAGGACATTTTTAAATTTTCATATGATTCTTTCTTATATTATGCTGAATTTAGCTCACACACAGTAGCTATTCTTCCCTTTTCTATCCCTAGTGTTGTACTTTAATGCACTCATTCATTTCAAATGTATTTATCAAAGATGAACTCTATGCTAGGTGCTGTTCAAAGAACAACATCAAATACCGACAGAGAACGTTACTACGTGTCATCTTTGCAAATATTTGAGGATATTTGCCTTTTTTTCATGTTAAAGTTGAAAGTGTGTGTCAACCATTTTCTGTTGATTTTACCTCTTAAACATCACTAATTCATATGTTTATCTTCACTGCGACAGTCTTAGTGAAAGCTGTCTAGTTATTCTTGCATAAACATAAGTTCCACTAATTATCCATTCAATAAGGATAGTAATCCCTAAAATATGCAAAGCTGATCAATTTTCTCCCTGGATAGCCTCTATAAACAGATTTTCTTTGCAGCACAATTATAATCTATAACTTTTATAAAACGTTGTGCAAATAATCTGCTTGATCTGACCCTTGCATACATTTTCAACATCAATTTCCACTACTCTCCCTTTGGGCATACCACTATTCATTCAGATATGAAGGATTCTGAGCTGTTTCCTGCCTCCCAACCTTTGCACATGCACTTCCTCTCTCTGTTTTTTCACTTCATCCTACTCTCTTCTGAGAAAACTACTCACCGTTTTTCAGGAATGATCTGAAAAAGAGCTGACTCAAACCATCCCATGGCAGAAATTGCTAGCTGTTTATCAAAATCCATTTATTCTTCTGAACTATTTGCCAGACATGTAACTAAGTGAAACCGAAATGGAAGGGATGTGTGTTACTGTACGGAAAAGGCTTTTATGAGGTAGCGTGTCTCTTACAGCTCTCATTTTCCTCTTCCTGGATTCATGTAAAAACAAGGCCCAGTAGAATTGCATAATCACTTGGAAACTGGATCAGTGAGATCTGACTGAATGGAAGAAAGCCATGCCTTAAAGAGTACATCTTCCATGAACTACTAAGCAAGTTTAGTGCTACAATTTTTTATGATCATCTTCTGTTGCCTATTTTCCTTTCTTATAATATTTTAAATATCCATAATTGACATTATCATTGCCAAGCACAGTTGAAGAAAGAAGAGAAAAATAAACAGAGTCACAAGACTTGTGTTATACTTATGGAGGGATAAAACATAAACAAACCAACACATATTTACCATTGCTGGTATAAAAAGAGAAGAATAAGGTGGTTAAGAAAGCTAATTATGGAGGTAACATTACCAAAATTGGCAAAATGGGAAATTCCAGAGCTCAGTCGCTCCTCAAACGCAACTAATGAGCTGGCAAAAATCAATAGAAGTGACTTTCCAGAGCACTGGAATCTATTCGAAACCTTACTTCAAACAGGGATGGCTTGAAAACAGAAGCTGTTGCTTTGTGCTGAGTGCACTGTCCTGGTTTAAATAGCCTGACTACCAAACTCCATACACAAGATTGATAGCAGCAGTGAGGATGGCAGCTGGAATTCTATTTCCTCAGCCAGTGCCAGAGGAAACAGACCCTGTTCTTTTTTTTTTCTTTTGTATATGTATAATTATACTTTAAGTTCTTGGGTACATGAGCACAACGTGCAGGTTTGTTACATAGGTTATACATGTGCCATGTTGGTTTGCTGCGCCCATCAGCTCGTCATTTACATTAAGTATTTCTCCTAATGCTATCCCTCCCCCAGTCCCCCACTCCCCGACAGGCCCCGGTGTGTGATGTTCCCCGTCCTGTGTCCAAGTGTTCTCATTGTTCTGACCCACCAATGAGTGAGAACATGCGGTGTTTGGTTTTCTGTCCTTGTGATAGTTTGCTGAGAATGATGGTTTCCAGCTTCATCCATGTCCCTGCAAAGGATATGAACTCATCCTTTTTTATGGCTGCATGGCATTCCATGCAGTATTCCATCCATGGTGTATATGTGCCACAATATCTTAATCCAGGTAACAGACCCTATTCTGAAAGAATTGTAGTTGAGGCCTCAGTCTGCCTGGTGGCTCCTCAAATCCATGTGCAAAGTCTTCCCTTTGCTTTGCCTGACATGGGGTCTTCCTAGGGCTGGACAACTTTCAGGGCAGCTGTGGCTAAAGACTTTGAAAGATACAGGTATTGGCCTCACCAGCCTGGGGCAAGAAACATCATTTTTTAATTTCAGAATTATTTTGGCTATTCAAGTTTATTTTCATTTCCACATACATTTTGAACTAGCCTATTGATTTTTGCCAAAATACTAATATAATTTTAGGGAAATTGTGTTAAATCTTTACATCATTTGAGGAAAAATTGACAATGTTACTTCTAATAATGACAATGGTGTATAGCTTGTTTTATTTGAGTCTTCTTTAATTTGTTTTATTGTCCTATTATAGTTTTTAATATAAAGCTCTTGAATACATTCTGTTAGGTTTGTACCTATATAGTCCATTTTTATTACATTGTTTTAATTGTATCATTTAAGAAATCTCAACAACCAAATTTTCATTTTTGTTGTATAAAAATTCAGTAGATTTTTGCATTTATCTTATATGGTGAAATATTGTTAAAATCACATATTAGTTGTAGTAGCTTATTGATAAATTATTTGAAATATTTTCTAAGTTGATTCATATTCTCTGTGAATATAGTTTTATTTCTTCCTTAACAAACTGTACAATTTTATGTTGTTTATCTGCTCATTGCACTGACTAGAAACTTTAGTATGTTAAAAAATAATTGAGCATGGTGGATGTAGGTGATTTTGCTCACAAACTTGGGGAAAAATAATTAGGTCATTGACCATTAAGCATAATTGTAGCTATAAAATTTTAATAAACTTTTATTTTATAATAGTTTCAGACTCTCAGAAAAATTGCAAATATAGGACAGACAGCTCTTTTGTGCCCTACACACAGCTCCCCCGTTATTAACATCTTACATTTTTATCATACATTTCTCATAATTTATGATCCAATATTGATGTATTTATTTTTCCAATTAAAAAATAATGTTTTCTGTTTTGGGTATTAGAGTAGTGCTGATATTATACAATAATTAGTGGAGAGTTTGCTCTTATTCTATTTTCTGGACAAATATAGCCACTGAAATCAACTGGGCCTGGAGATTTGATTCTTGGAAATACTTTAACTAAAAATGCATTGTCTTATATTTAATAAAGACTATTCATGTCAAATTATTTTCCTTGCATGAGCATTGGGATTCATAGCTCTAAAAAATTGCCCAATTTTATCTAAGTTGTAGGTTTATGAACATTAAAGAAATAATGGCTCGTTTTTAAATTTTCTCTATGGTCTGCAGTGGTATCCATTCTCTGATTGGGAATCTGCGTCTTTATTTTTTACCTGATTTGTCTGCCTAGACATTTTTCAAGTTATTAATAATTTAAATAATGTGGGGTTTGAGGGTTTTTTGTTTTATTGATTTTCTTCGTTATCTATTTTCAATTCACTTGATTTTCATTTATTTCTTTATTATTTCATTTATTTTGATGTCTTTGGGTAGACAGCATTCCAATATCTTCTCTTCTGCATATTTTCTAAGAAGAAGTCTGCTGTATTTCATATATTTGTTATTTTGTATGCAATTAATCCCTCCTCCTTTATGACTTTCTCACCAATTATACTGTGGTATTTTTAAGAGTTTTTCTTTTTCGTCTTTTGCTATTTATTTTGCTTAATTTTATCTGTGTATTTGGGATGTGTGATTTAATAGCTCACTAATTTAGGAAATTTTTCAACCATTATCTCTTCAAATAGTGAAGTATTTTCCTCTATCTTTTTCTATGCCAAAAAGTATGCTATATTATTTGGCATTTGCCATAGCTTTTAGATGTTTTGCTTTATATTTTTTCTATCACTATTTTTCTTCTTTAATTTTATTTTTGTAAATTCTATTTGCCTATATTCAACTATTCTTTAATTGGCTAAATAAGCAGTTATTAGCCTGCCAAAATTATTCTTTATTTCTATTACTATAATTTTTTAGTTCTAGCATTTTTATTTGTTCTTTTGCTTATAGTTTCTTCTCTCTGCTAAAATTCTCTGTCTGTTTATATATGCCATTGAAATTTTCCACTTCTAACATATTAATTCTTGCTATTTAAAATGTTCTAGCTGATTATTCCAACAGCTACGCAATCTCTGATTGCTTTACTTTATTATCTTTTTTTACCTTTACAATGGGTTTTTATCTTGTGTTTTTTTAATCATAAACCCTTTCTGAATGCTAGATATTGTAGGGAACACTTGAAGTTGAGATAAATTATATTTATAATTTCAAATATTCACAGCTCTCTTGCTGCTAAGTCACTGATGTAGGGAGTTGAAATACTCTTCTTCTTTTTCTGTTTTCTTTTTTTTTTTTTGAGTTGGTGGAGTCTTACTATGTCACCCAGGCTGGAGTGCAGTGGCATGATGTTAGCTCACTGCAACCTCCACCTCCCAGGTTCAAGCAATTCTTCTGCCTCAGCCTCCCAAGTAGTTGGGACTACAGGCACGTGCCAACATGCTTGGCTAACTTTTGTGTTCTTTAGTAGAGATGGGGTTTCACCATTTGGACAGGCTGATCTCGAATTCCTGACCTCGTGATCAACCTGCTTCGGCCTCCCAAAGTGCTGGGTTTATAAGCGTGAGCCACCATGCCTGGCCAGGAGTTGATATTCTAATGATATTCTAATTATTACTAAACCTACGTTTTCTGTTTGAGTCTGTTACGGTTATTATGAGTGAAACATGGTCTCAATGTCCTCTAGTGTTTTTTTTATTTTATTTTATTTTATTTTATTTTATTTTATTTTATTTTATTTTTTGAGACAGAGACAGAGTTTAGCTCTTGCTGCCCAGGCTGGAGTGCAATGGCATGATCTTCACTTATCACAACCTCTGCCTCCTGGGTTCAAGCGATTCTCCTGCCTCAGCCTCCCGAGTAGCTGGGATAACAGGCATGCAGCACCATACCCGGCTAATTTTGTATTTTTAGTAGAGACGGGGTTTCTCCATGTTGGTCAGGCTGGTCTCAAACTGCCGACCTCAGGTGATTCACCCACCTTGGCCTCCCAAAGTGCTGGGATTACAGGTGTGAGCCACTGTGCCCGACCCCCAGTGTTCTTATGGTTAAAGTGTGGCTGCTTTGTTGACATTGTCACTCAATATTCTTATTGCACCCTCACCTTTAGGACTTTTCTGTGTTTTTCCTCAGAGAGTGTCTTTGTTTATGCTATTGTTCCTCCCCCAGTTGTAGATAGTAGCTGCTTTTTTCAGTGAGTGCTTGCCTGCTGGAGAAAATGTAAGATTAACAAGAAAGGCCCATTTCTGAGACCAAGAAAAACAAGGTATACTGTAAGCTAAATATGCTCAGGACAACTAAGAATATCCTCATCACCCACTGCCAGGCTGAAGTAAATTATATGTATACCTGCAAATGGCCACACCCTCAGGATAAAAATATTTTTTGTCCTCTTTCATACTTTCTTCTTTTTTTTTTGAGATAGAGTTTTTCTGGGAGTGCAATGGAATGATCTCGGCTCACCGCAACCACCACATCCCAGGTTCAAGTGATTCTCCTGCCTCAGCCTCCCGAGTAACTGGGATTACAGGCATGCACCACCACACCCAGCTAATTTTTTGTATTTTTAGTAGAGACGGGTTTCTTCATGTTGCTCATGCTGGTCTCAAACTCCCGACCTCATGTGATCTGCCCGCCTTGGCATCCCAATGTGCTGGGATTACAGGCATAAGCCACCACACCCGGCCCTCTTTCATACTTTAAAAAACAAAAACAATAACACTGTACCTTGTTGTCCTCCGTATTGGTTGCCCTTTCAGTTTCAAATTTAGGCTTTTGTCTTCAGAAGCAAAGAGTTTTGTCAAGGCTTTTTGCCTCTTCCCTTGTGGCTGCTGCTACCTTCTTCCAGGCCTGTACCAGGTAGGTGGTTTTATCCTGCCTTTTACTCATTGCTCAGACTAACTTCTGTGTGCCTTATGGAGTTTCATGATGAATAGCACAAGGGTGCCTACAAAATCTCCAACATGTCTGCAGCTCTCATGTTAAGTTACAATCAGTCTTCAGCAATAAACTGAAAGTTGTAACGGAGATTTTCTTACTTTTGAAACAGACATATTAATCCCATCAAAAAAATTTTAAAATCAACATAGAAATCAATATTTCTAGTCTTAAAACTTGAAAAGTACATTTGTTTTATCTGAGTTCTTTCCTCTGGAAAAGACCCTCAGGACTCTCAAAAGGTATCAAAGAACTAAAACTCACCAGCTTATCACATCCAGACAGTGAGACGCCAGGCCCTGCATTTGCTTTCTACCCCTCCTGAGAGCCTGTTTTCCCATACATGGTTACATTCCTTCCCTGCTATATAAACCTCTACGTTTAGTCAGTCAGGGAGATGGATTTGAGACTGACTTCCCATTTCCTCTGCTACTGCCCCCGATTAAAGCCTTCTTCCTTGGCAATAATTGCTGTCTTAGTGATTGGCTTTCTGTACTGCAAGCAGCAGGACCAAGACTGAACCCCTGAGTTTTAGTAACAGATTTTGGTTCCCTGTCAGAAACCTGTTGCTTGTGGCTCAGCTGTCATGGGCTGGGAGTTTCAGAAGTCCTCCTGAGCAGTGTTGTGGGTCCAGACAACAAGATCTGCTGCTCTCAATTTGGGAAATTTTAAAGGAATTTCCTCTTGCAGGCTAACAAGCCCAGCTGACTGACAGAGGGAAGCACTCTGAGTATTTTAGTATGGACACTTAGAGGCTTGTTTGTAATTGTGTGTCGTGTGTGTGTCCAGGCAAGTGAGTGTGTTTTGTGGCTACCAGATAGTGCAATCTGCTTCTCTGAAATTGGAAAATTCTGAAGGAATTTCCATTTACAGGTTGAAAAAGCCCAACATATTGAGAGGAATGGACCCTGACTGTTTCAGTTTGGACACTCTTGGGGATTGTCTGTTGCTGCAGAAGTTGCATTGCATTTTGGTGATTGTGTGTGTGTGTGCGTGTGTGTGAATATAGGTTATGGGAAATTAGAATTTGCTAAACTGATACTTTTTTGTAATGCTTTTTGGCCCCAGTATTCTTTGGAATTTAGAGTTTGCTGTTGAATTAAAAAGTGAGATGAATTTCTATGTCTTCAGGCTTTTATGTTGCTGTTTTAAGCAAGGTTGGGCCTCCTTATTAGGGTCCAAGTGATATCCTTCTGTGGTGCTGTTTGGCTCCAGTGTTCTTTGGAGTCTGGGGAAGTTTGGTCATCAAAAATTAAACTGTCATGGAAACGGCTTTACCAAAAAGTTTAGTTCACACCCTTCGCTGGGTAGCCTACTGGGGTGAAACAAATATGTAGCCATGTAAACTGGTGAGTTTGTATGGCTATCTCATGGCTACAGTTCTGAGATAAAAGCCACTGGATCTTTGTTTTTATGTGTGTATACATTCTATATGTATTTATGTATGTACATTTATTATGTTAAATGTTGTATCTACCAAATCGGCTTATAAATGAAAGATCACTTATAAATTAAGTAAGCCTGAAGTATTTTTCAAGTCCCCATGACATAAGTAAACCTTTAATAAACAATCTGGCTTTAAAATTATTGATAAAATATAAATAGAAGTATCTTCAGAATTGTCAGAATGCATCTTGGTCTGGTTTATGTTTGTCTCTGCTAGATATTTTGAGGTACCAGGGTTTGGCATAGAAGGTTATAAAATGATAACTCCAGCCAAAAGGAACTAATCTTGGTTTATGTCTCTTATTTGACAAATGAGACTAATTTAATGGTGTTAGCTGAATCTTCTGCATTATTGCCAAAAATACCTGTGTATTCAATGTTAAGGTTCTTACTTAGGTGAGGATTTGATGTTCACTGTCTATAAAAAAACAGTTAACAAGGAAATAGCTAACTTTAAATGAAGACAAGCTGTGTCTAATATCACAATTTTCAAAAGTAACTAGAACTTAAAAATGAAAAAAATGAGTGCATGTAAGTGAGATAAATGTTGTAGGTAAACTTTTTATGTAATTTAAAATCTTAAACTTGTTTTGGATTTTATAATCGATGCTCATTGGATATCTGGGGCATTTACAATTAAGAAAAGTTTATGATATGGGGAAATATGTCTCTAAAAATTGTGGAATGGTTCCCATCAATAAAATGCTAATATCTAATAGCCAGTTCAGGATTTCTTCCTAAGTTTTCACTAAAATTTGAGGTTACTAAGGAGAAGAATTATATATTCTGGTTAATATATAATTTTGTATATAAAATATGCCAAAGATGTGTTTTTATAGAGAAAAAGAATCATTTTACTAATTTATAGGTTATCAAAAGGTTAATTCAAATTATGTATTAGAAAAGGTTATTTATGAAACAGGGTAGTAAGGAACCAGTAAATATTGAAGAGAGATGTAAACACAGTTATGGATATGAAGATGTGTTTTTGTTAAGGAACACAGGTTATAAAGGTTATAAAGAAAAACGTAGTTTTGCTTGTGAAAAGATCATGTGTGGTGAATTCTTCTCCTAAAGTAAAATGACTGGATTACTGGTTGTTTATTAAAAAAAAAATAAATAAAAGAAAAAAAAAAAGAAAGAAAATTTAGGACAAAACAGAATGTTCAAGGATATCATAGAGGGTCTGTGTAAGTCATATGCAGTTTTTATCCTGTTTCTCCATGTGTCTATATTCATGCATGTACAAAGAAAATAGGGAGTGGAAAAAGTTTAGGTAATAAGATATTATCTAAAGCCTGATAGAAAATTGGTGAAATACGGTTGATTAATATTGCTTATAGTTAAGGCTCTTTGTCTTGATGAAGGTAAAATAAGAAATATAATAAATAAATACATTGGCAGTTTGGCATTCTTTTTTAATATCATTAAACATTCAGCTAAGTTTAGTGTGGAGCCAAATTTCTCATAAATACTTGCATTGCTTCACACTATATTTGCTATTCTGCATAGATAGTACTAGCACTAAGGTACTTACTGATCATGTATCTAAAATGAATTACTTAATTGCACAAAATATATAGTGTTATTGACGGACTTACAAGTCATTAAATTATATATCAGGAACAAAATATCCACCTTGTATTTTATCAGGCCCTGGGTGACACTTCAGCTTATAAGGTAAACTGAGTAGGGGGAAAAATTGGGGGTTCATTTCCTGTTTATTTGTTTTTGCTTCTAGTTTTCATTTATGTGCTGTTTGTTCTCCCTTGAGTTTTACTTATATATACATATATAAAACCATTGATTTATTTTAGTTTCCAATAAAGGCTTTTATTGGGTTCCATGAATAGTCATAGATTTGTTTCCTATGCATTTCCAACAGTTCACAATTTGTTCTATTTTTGTTTTGTTTTGTTTTGGCATGGGGTCTCACTCTGTCACCAGGCTGGAATGCAGTGGTGCGATCTCAGCTCACTGCAACCTTCAACTCCCTGATTCAAGTGATTCTCCTGCCTCAGCCTCCCAAGTAGCTGGGATTACAGGCACACACCACCACGCCCGGCTAATTTTTGTATTTTTAGTAGAGACAGGGTTTCACCACGTTGGCCAGGATGGTCTCGATCTCCTGACCTCGTGATTCCGACACCTCCACCTCCCAAAGTGATGGGATTACAGGCGTGAGCCACCGCGCCTGACCAATTTGCTCTATTTATCTAAAGTTTGTAAGCTACCTTTGTCAAGCCTCCAAAAATTAATAAAGGACACCAGCTATTTAAAATTTGGTTGGTTTTGCTTAACTCTGATTATCTAGAGAGCCACAAGAGCTTTAATGTTCCTAGCAAAAAAAAAAAAAAAAAGACTTTTTTCTACAAGTTCTGAACAGAGGTAGTACCTTATTTATTTTGTTATTTGAAAAGGTGGATGATAATTAAAATGTTTAAATGGTGTTTATTTCCAAGGTTATTCAGTCTAATCAATAATTGGAGTTGATTTTCATATATTTTCTTTCAGATAATGAGGAAACACTGTGACATGGGTACAAACTTTTAATGATTGGTCTCATCCTTAAGGAAATCATATTGAATGGGATTAATCTCAAACTAATTTAGTTGTGGTGACCATTCTTAAATTAAGTGGTATTCACTTGGATTAGGTAGTAATAAGCATATGTGAGACTTACTAGTGATTTTTGATCCCAAGCCATTTATCACTGATGGACCTTTATGTGTATACTTGAAAACAAAATGTGTACAATTGTTGCACTAGTTTGAAGATATTAGTGGCAAAAGTTACCTAATCAGTTGTCAGTACTGTATCTATAAATCAATTTTGGAAATGTGTGATCATGCTCTTTTAAATAGCCGAAAATAAGTTACTGTGTGGTTGTTCTTACTTTGTTTCTGTTTTGTAGTATAATATTTAAGTGGAAGGACATTATTTCTCCTCATATTTAATTTCTGATATTTGCATTTACTGTTCTTTAATGATGGGGAGAAAAGTTAGTTGTCTTACTGACACAGTATTTTTCTCAGACCCTATGACAGACTCACAACAGGGGCGCCCCCCTCTACTTGGCCTGCTACACTCAACCTCTTGCAGGAGGGAACATGTGAGCAAGTGAGTGTGGGACCTGGCAAGCCAGTCTGGGCACCGACACGGGCACAAACTCTGTGCATGTCCCACGGCCAGACCAGACGTGAATATGTGAGTGTGGGATCTAGCCGGTTGCTCTGGGTGCTAGCTGGAGCAAGCTCCATACGGGACCCATGGCAGCGCCCAGGTGTGGGTGCCTGCAACGCCGAAGCCCCAGAGGGGGTGTTACAGTGCTCTCTTAGTTCTGCTGTCTGCAGACCGCAGTGTGTTAGCGGCTCAGTTTGCTCCTGGCGGTGGCACCCTAGTGAGGATGCCCATGACCCCAAGGCCCCAGAGAGGGTGTTACAGTGCTCTCTTAGTTACACCATCCATGGACAGCAGTGTGTTAGAAACTCAGTAGGCCCCTTGCCTCATTGCATGGGGTGGCCATCCTCCACCAGCAGGGACAAAGGGCTGGTGTGTTGGCTTTTCTGGATAGCCATACACAGGGGTCCTGAGCTCTTGTGTAGTGTCCAAGAAGAATGAGGTTGCACAGACAACTGAAGGGCAGATAATTTTATTAAGCAATGAAAATGGCTCTCAGTGGAGAGGCAAGCTGCAGAGGAGACTGTACGGGCTGGTCATTTTCCCCCATAGTCAGGTTGTCTCTTCCATAGTCCAGCCATCTCTTCCCTGAAGTCCAGCCATCTCACTGAAGTCTGGCCATCTTCCCCTCTACCAAATGAGTCTGGGGTCTTCATAGGCACAGGATGGGGGCAGGAGGGCTGTAGGTAGTTTTGGAAAAAGCAACATTCAATTCATAAAAATACATTATTTAGGGATAGAGTGGGCAAACAGGAATAGAATTTCTCACTTCGGGGTGTGGGTTTCAGGCATGGATTGAAGGTGGGGTTTCACTGGGGACCCAACCTTGTCTGCCTAGAATTTCTCTGCCTCTTACCTCTATCATTACTTTGATAAGATTGGCAAAGAACCTATTAATTTTTGATGCTTTTTGTCACAGTTCTGTCACTAGAATGCTAGAAGTTAGACATATGCAAGGAGTAATCTGACCACTTTAATACAATGAAGTGCCGCAGGCAGTCACTACGGGACACCAAATCATAGTGTTTTAATTTGTAATATATTAGACAGAATGATAGGATTTTCTGTAGTATAAATATCCTATTAACTAATCCTTGTGCTATTAAGTTACGGGGCTTTGACTCCTGGGTCTGAAAAAGTCACTGCTAAATCTTGAGCATTGACACTACTCGAATTCTTGTCTTCAGACCCAGGAGAACATGACAATCAAAATGAACTGTTTTCTTGAGACACAGGGCCAGAAATTAAAACCATTCAATTGAGGCTCAAGGACTATTGTAGAAAAGGTGGGCATGTGAGATTGTAAGAACCGATTTTGAGGGATAAGATTAGTTCAGAATTTTTCTATGAATTAAACATTAATATCAAAAGCACACTGATTCAAGGCCCAAGTCTGAGCTCATGTTTCATAATAGTAGCGTTTTCTTGGAGTATTGATCTACTCTTTAATAAAGAATTGTAAAAGGTTATTAAAAGTTTATGGATATCTTACCTTATGATCAAACTGATTTTAAGTAAATAGACATGTTTATAAAATTTTATTGAAATTAACTTTCACATTAATAATATATCATACAAAGGTAACATTTTTATTTTCACTTTTGAATATAATGTTTGTGTAATATTACTAAGAGATACAATATTTTTGTTTACCTTTTATGTGAACTGCAGGGAAAAAGTGGAGGGGGGAGAGACAGATTTATTTGACCTCATACTGTCTTTATTAGATCTTATTGTTTGGGAACCTGAATCTTCTATTAAAAGGTAAACATTTCAGTTTTATCATTTTGGCTAAATGAATGACTATTTTATAATGACTTATGATCCTATTTTGTGATTTCAAGTGTCTTAATACTTTGATATTTGTCAAACTTCCCAAGAGCAAAATTTCAAGTTCTAAATTCAGTCTTTTTTACCTCAAAATAACTATTTTGGATATTAGGTTTCCTGAAGTCCAAGGGAGATATATGAGTCTTATTGGTTATGTTAGAATTATTCATCAAGCATTATCAAATCTGAGATGGCATTTAGTTTCCTTTAGGTTATATTTATACAGATGTTTTGTTAATATGTATTCCAAGATTGTAGGATATTCATAAAAATCTGACATGTCTTAATATGTTGTCAGTAATAATTATGATGATCATGTTAAATTGTTGTATGCCACAGAAATCTAATTTTATTGTCAACTGTGTCTTTTTGACTATGGCTGACTAAAGACTTTTGTCATCCGCAATTGTTGTTTTGCTTTGATCCTTCTCAGGAAGACGCTTATAATCAGCTGCTGTCCAGGGCTTGCTTCTTTGAGGAAGTTCATGAAAATGACTCCTGAATGCAGGTTTCTGATAATTTTGGAGATTGTGTCATTGGACAAGAAAGAAAATTTCCAGGGTACTAATTAAAAGGCTTATGTGTTAATGGAGATTGCTAACCATATGAATCAGAGCAGGAGTTGATTGAATGGATTGAACTGATAGAGGATTGAAATAATTTTTTGTTTGAAACATTGATGATTCTTCAGAGTCTTTGGATAACCTTTTTTCTTTTGAGCTATTTATAGCCTTTAACAATTGAGTATACTATTATAAACATAATTTGAGGCATTTTTCTCCATTTGCCTAATTTCTCCAGAATTTGTAAATTATTTGTATTTATGAATATTTTTAATTAATATAACTTCTTTGAATAATTCATTAAGAATCTATTTTCTAACAGGATACAAGTGAAGGTACTGGTTATTTGCCCAGGGCTTTGACTGAAATGGTCTTGTGAGAGGTCTAGCAAGGCCAGTTTAGGACAGCCTATGTGGACAATCAGTCTTGCTGCATTTTGTGTGGGTAATTAGGCCAAATATATGGGACTGCAGCTTACTTTGCAGGTAGGTTGATCCTGCTGTGATTTGTCTTTGGTGGAAGTGGGGGGCTGGAGAGAGAAAGATTGTGTTTCAGAAGAAAACTAGTCACTCATGCTATGGAGCTTCCCACAATGCCCCTCCTCAGCATGAAGAAGCCAGAAAAATTGACAACAGATTCACCATGGTTGAAGAATGGATAAATAGAAAAAAGGGGCTGAAACCAACCCAAATGTCCCATAGACTCTTTTTGTTTTTATTTTCATAAACATAGAAATTGACTCTTCTGGTTTTAAATCTTGAAACTTATGCCAGTTTTATCTGGGTTCTTTCCTCAGAAATGGACCTTCAGGATTATTAAAAAGTATCAAAGAACTGAAACTTGCATCCAGGCAATAATATGCTGGGCCCCTCATCCATGATTGCTTCCTAACCCCACCTGAGTTCCTGTTTTTTTCATGCATAGTTACATTTCTTCCTTGCTAAATAAACCCATACTTTTAGTTCATCAGTGAAATGGACCTAAGACTGATTTCCCATTTATTTGGGTGCAGTACCTGATTAGCTTCTTCCCTGTTAATGCTCATCATTTCAGTGATTGGCTTTCTGTGCTGAGAGCAGCGGGACCTAGACTGAAACCCTGGCATTTAGATAACACTTTAATGGCAGTATTCTTTTTCTTACCCTCTGCCATTAGTGAGCCAGTCCTTGGACTCTATTTCTCCTTACATGCATCTATTACTATTTATTTATTTATTTTTAATTTTAAGCTACTAAATGTCTCTGTAACCTCAAACCTTTGATGAGTTTAAGAAGTCCTTTTTTTTTTTTAGATTATTGTGCCTTTGATGTTGTTATTTCCATAGAAATAATACCTCTTCCAGCTTTATACTTGCAGGGCTCTCTAGAGGGACAAAACTAATAGGATATATGTATATATGAAAGGGAGTTTATTAAGGATAATTGACATACATGATAACAAGATAACCTCCCACGATAGTCCATCTACAAGTTGAGGAGCAAAGAAACCAGTGGTGGATCACTTTGAGTCCCAAAACCTCAAAAGTAGGGAAGCCGACAGTGCAGCCTTCAGTCTCTGGCCAAAGGCCCAAGAGCCTCTGGTAAACCACTGGTGCAAGTCCAAGAATCCAAAAGCTGAAAAACTGGGAGTCTAATGTTTGAGGGCAGGAAGCATACAGTATGGGAGAAAGATGAAAGCCAGAAGACTCAGCAAATCAAGTCCTTCCAACTTCTTTCTGCTTGTTTTATTCTAGCCGTGCTGGCTGCTGATTAGATGGTGCCCACCAAGATTGATGGTGGGTTTGCCTTTCCCAGTCCACTGATTCAAATATTAATCTCCTTTGGCAACACCCTCGCGGACATACCCAGACACAATACTTTGCATTCTTCAATCCAATCAAGTTGACACTGAATATTAATCATCACACTACTTCTTAGGCAAAAGTTGGAATCCTGATTTATATTTTAACTTCTATAATTTCATTTATTGCTATAATATACTCATTGGGTACTCTCTTGTAGGTTCCTTCATTTTAATAATGTAATTTATATTCTAGGTTTCCCAAATTATCAACAGTTTTAAGAATCTTTTCCAAAAACTTCCTCTCACTCACTAGTATGATTCCCTTAGAGAGATAATCTATCAGTCTAAAATACAACTCAATTCTTGATGTGTTTTCTTTTCTGTCTAGTATCTGTAGTGAGTGTTTCATCTTATATTCCTTCCTTTAGCATCTTAAGTCTATAAATTTGCCAGGCACATGGATTACAGAAAGAGCTATTTATGCTTCCAAAACTGGAATCATTGGATTTATTTTAAATTCCCCAAATAAGGCATAAAGTAGTCTGTGCTGATGCCTTCAAATCTAGACATATCCATACTGAATGGTTTTCTGACAACTCTTAGTATTGATTCTGCCACTGCAGCTTTAAAAAGTTCTGTCGATTTTCATTCGTCAGGGCTACTTCTGGGAAAGACTTTTCAGTTTGTTTACAAACTCTTTCTTACTCGATCTATTCCATATTACTCTGCTTTCTAGCAGTACTCCAAGATTTATTATAAGTTTAAAATTTACCTTTATAAAAACTGCTTATTTGTAGAAGCAAACAGCAAATATATTTAGAAGCAAAGATAGAACTAGAACAAGAAAGACCCAACTTTGCAAACCTAATGTAAAAGCTGGCTAAAGTCAGGATAGTAGATGGATGCAAAACTAATGGGTGTAAATTTACTGACTAATGATGTATTTAAAAGAAAAAAATGAACTTTTGCAATGAGCTAGTTATGGCAGTTAGTATCTCATTCAAGTTGCCAAACAGTATCACCAATAGTGGTAAATGATAATTAAGATTGATCAATTAATATGGAACTATTTTAACAGTTTTTTTAAGTTTGAGGAAATTATACTATTGTTTTTAAAAAAACAAAGATAAATAATGGATACCATCACGCTGAAAATGATGATTCCACATGACATTACCTAATCAGAGCATCAGCTTCTGAGTTGCCTTTTAAGACCATAATACAAGGTGATGGTGGGAGTGGATGCTTTAGGCTCAACAGTTATGCATCAATGGCAAGGAGAGGGCTGCTTAAGACAATGGCAAGTGGAGCATGTAATCATAAAATTGATCCACATTTTATGCTCATGCTTCTCTGGTAGTGTGTATTTTTTTAATTGATTAACAGTAGTAAACCTGCTGTGTGTATGAATATATATGTGTATATACATTATATATGTGTATACACATAAATAATAAGAGTGGGAGAAACAGAGTTTTTTAAACCAAAAATGGAAAGCAAACCCCAATTGAGCAAATTTTATGATGTGAGTCTGAAAATGTATCTAAAAGAGTGTGGGAAAACTTCAAGAGTTGCATCTTCAAATGATGTGGTATACGTGTGTGTGTGTGTGTGTGTGTACGTATATATGCATGTGTCTATTCATATATATTTTTTCTTCCCTCCAGTTCTCTTCGTTCATTCTGAATTCCAATTACACAGATTTCAGACTCTTTAATAATATCTAACTGATTCTATGGCTCTGTTCATTTTCATTTATATTTGTGTGTGTTTGTGTCTGTGTATGTGTCTGTGTGTGTGGTGGTGGTGGTGGTGGTTGTTTTTATTGCTCTTCCTTCAAGGTCACTTTCTCTTTCCCTTGTCATCTCCATTAAGGCTTATATTCATCTAGTGAATTTACTATTTCAGAGATGGTACTTTTCACATCTAAGTTACATTTACATTTGCTTCCTCCTTATAATATGTAGATATATTAAGAATTCATATCTTTCCTTAATTATGAGCATATTGTGATCTTATAGTAGTTATATTTGCTATTTTAACATTAATGTCTGCTATTTACAATATCGAGGTTATCTTGTTATTGGTTTCATTTTTTTCCTTTTGAGAATGTTTCCCATTTTCCCAGTTTTTCTTATATAAAGTAATTTTAGATGGATTCTTCAAAATTATGAATAGAAACTTGGAAAGACAGAAGATTATGTCATTTTTCTCCGTTGAGAGTTGTTTCTGTTTAGCATTCAACTATCTTCACTGGACACAAATCAAACCTGTTTATTGGCCCCATCCACTGTCTCATTTTAGGTATATAATTTTTTGCTGAGTTTTTTTCTTAAATCTGTTCCACACATGCATAGTTCAGGGGTCAGAGAGAGCTATAGTAGAGATAATTTCCCATCTCTTTTTTTTTTTCTTTTCTCCAATTTTCACAACTTTTTCCTCTTTTTGCAGCAACCACTGATTCCCTATTTTCAGTTCTCTAATTTTCCAGGCAACAATGACGGGATTTCCACTGCCGCCTGATATACTGCAATATGCAGAATCTCCAGATAAAATCCACAAAAAATTGAATTCTACTTCATAAAAATCCCCTTCTCTGAGCATGTACCTGCACCAAAATATGACAAATTCTTTTTTTAACCAGTGCTGTCTTATATCATATCAAATTTCGCAGTGGTTTTCTGAAGGCAGCCATTTCAGTCAGATCTTATTCATTAATGGGTTATGTCCTGTCAATATTATTTTCTGATTATGTGGTATATTAGACTCATTGTGGTCCAGGCTTTTAAAATGATTCCTTGGACAGTAATGCTTCAGACCTTTACTTTATGTATGTCACTGAAACTAATCTTCAAATATGGTTGCATTGTTCTTTGACCAGAATATTCTCACCTTTCTGTGATCAGCAACAACCCCATTGTACATCTAGCATTGTTTTATAATCTCTATTTGCTTAAGTATTAATTCCAGTAAAGCATATGCATCTTACAATTCAGAAACATACTTTATTATTTCTCTATATCACCAAGGTCTATCTAAGTCCTCATTCATAAAGAGTAGCTAATATATGTATGTTGGATGAATGAAAGGATTAAGATGAGTAAAATTAAACTAAACCATTCTGTGATCTCCTCTGTTGCTCCCTTGTTGATAGGGAACTTATTTGGTGTAAGTCTTGCCTCTGGATCTGAGAAAATTTGGAATATTATGTCAAGAAAATCATCCTGGAAGCTAAATGAATGCTAAAGTTAAATGGAAACATATTGATAAAGTGAATTTAAAAAATAGTTGGGGAAGGTGATTTTTCTGAAAGATATTCAAAACTTGCAAAATATTACTAAATGTTTCAAGAAACCCTTCAGCTATCAAGAGAAGCACTCCTCTGGTAACTTGAAGAAATATGCATCCTTCAAGTGCTACATTATTCACATTGGAAGAAACAGCTTCATAAATAAATCACAAGGCAGAAATGCAGAGTTTTTAATCTATGACAAATAAGGATGTTCTGCACATTCTATAGTAGACACGTTTTTTTGGTGCTGCTTAGCATTTCGTAAAATATCCGACTCATTACCTGTCCTAGAGTCTCAGCCTTGAACAATGCAACATCAAAACAGCTCTTTGTAGACTCTTCTAGTTACTATTTCAGTCTAAAGATCACTAAGGACTTAAAAAATGCAGTATTTCATGTTATTTCACCTTTAATACTTCTCACTGAGATGTGTATTATGTGGGTGTGAAAATGGTCATTATTACTTTTTATCTAATTATGTTAATTTGTAGTATATTTTAAGACATTCTTCTGCCCTCTTTAAAAATATAGTAAGAAAAACTAATAATAGATTCATATTCAGTATATAGTTGTGATACTCTGTGCTAGATACTATTGTAGATATTAGAGACTTATAAAATATGGCCTTCACTCAGGGGAATTATAATTGATTCAGAAAATACTATAGAATACAAAATATGTCCCAGTTATATTAATAAGAAAGACTACATTGACAAAAAGATTGGAAAGTATTGAAGGACTTGATAGGATAATAGATATCACCTATGATCCCTTTTCTTGAGGAATGTTAGCACTGTAAATCATTTTGTATACCAATGTTTTTTACACAAGATGTTATGTTTGGAGCTTATAACTTTTTTTAATTTTGTAACTTATTTCATCTAGTTTTTATATCCAAATTAGCCTGATTATTACACATTTTATAATATACAAATATCAAAATATTACACATACCTCAAAAATATGTACAACTATTATACATCCATTTAAAGAAGAAAAGTGTTAACTACATAGATTTATGTAATTTTTTTTTTTTTTTTGAGACGGAGTCTCACTCTGCTGCCCAGGCTGGAGTGCAGTGGCACAATCTCGGCTCACTGCAAGCTCCGCCTCCCGGGTTCAGGGCATTCTCCTTCCTCAGGCTTCTGAGTAGCTGGGACTACAGGCGCCCGCTAATTTTTGTATTTTTAGTAGAGACGGGGTTTCACCTTGTTAGCCAGGATGGTCTCGATCACCTGACCTTGTGATCCGCCTGCCTCGGCCTCCCAAAGTGCTGGGATTACAGGTGTGAGCCACCGAACCCGGCCAATGTAATATTTTTTGAAATGTTATCTCTGCCTTTGTAGCTTCTCTGAAAAAAATATAATATTCAAAATATATTATTTTAAAAAATATAGACATTATTTATTTGTCATAAATACAATTATATTTTCACTGATAATTATGGCATGTGAGAGGTAAAAATAATTTTATACATTCATATAAATCAGATATCCATTTACAAAATTTATCTAGTCAGAGCATATATCCTTTTCTACGTCCCGTGATTAAAAAAATAAAAATATATTGACGTATCTGCTAAGAGGATCAAACTCCGTAGTTACAGTCAATAATCACACTTGGCCCTACTTCTTACCACACTCATACAAGATAGCTTCAAGGATCTGAAGTAAAGTGACACTGGTGGCTATGTTGAAGAAAAAAGTTTGTGATCATAATATGTTGGTTTGCTTTGTGTTTAAAAAAAAAAAAAGCTAAAATATTTTTTGCAAACAATTTAGGCAGGTATACATGTCAAACTTTTGTTTTATTTTGCTGTAAGGTAATAAAGGTCTTAAGCAAGCAAATTAAATATTTTACTTTCATGAGGGTGACTTTATAAGACAAGATAAAGCCAAAACTTAGTTACTACAATTACTTGTTACTACGATAATCTCTTTATCAATATAAACTTAAATTGTATGTTTCAATATTTGTAGCAAGTATGTGGGAGACATAGACTAAGATTAGCCCACTCTTTAATCTATACTTTTTGGTAAGTCCTCCGAAGTTCTATTTAAACATAGAAACCTACAGTATATCACCCAGTCATATCTCTTGACTTGCGGAGAAATTCTACTAAGAAAGTGATTCTGACATCTGAGAGGTGTAAAAACAAGGTGCAAAAGATAAGTGTTACAATGTTCAAGTCCGTCACTGCAGTTGTCACTATAGTCAACCCTACTCTGGTGGTTCAGTGGCTCAATGACCTAAGCCATTTAATTTCCCCCTTCCCTTTGTTTTCTTAAAGTGTGTTTGATTTAACCTTCTTATCCTGAGCAGCACAAAGTCAGAGATAACCAGGTCCAGGCAGGCTTGTGTCTTTCCACAATGTCAGACTTTTATTGATGCAATTTCAATCCTAAAAGCAAGCCTCATGGGGTTCCCAAGGATGCAATTCTCCTTAGTACTTCCTGTTCACAGTAGTCAGAGCTGTGAGCGCACAGGCTCAAACAATTCCACAGGTCAGTCAATATTGCAATCCATATACAATAGTATACATAGTTAATATAAAAATGTTATAAATTAACCCACAGCAAACAAAGTATAATAACATTTAAGATCAAGAGAAAAGGGTTAGGAAAAAGGGTTAATGAATCAGTTCGTGGAGAGCAACATGCACAAAAACACAATGTCCTGCCTTGGCCCTGTACAGCCCATCAGCATCAGCATCTTGCAAGGAAATGTCTTTGATGTTGGCAGAGCCTTAGCCTGGGGTTGCCAGGTGCTTATCACAAGTGACAGCAAGACATTGTCTATTAAAATGTATGTTTTTAGCTGATGAAGTCCTGCTATTTTTATGGCCACAGAATCCTCTGGTGAGGATTGATAGTGGAAGAATGTGCTTGGTTATGTCCTTATCTGGTTGGATGCAGTCTTTATTGATTAGGCAAAACATATTGTCTGTGTTGGCATGGTGCCTATTGAAATGTAAGATGGAGCCTTTTTCTAATACGGAGTTACTTGTGTAAGGGGTGCTGTTAGAAACAGAAGTATCTTGATTATTAGGAAAGAAGATCACAAAAAAATGTCATGGAAGTTTAACAAGATTCAATATAGAAAGTTTAGAACACCAAAGGAGAAAGCCATGAAAACAAAATGGGGAAGCAAAATGAAATCATGGCATTCTGAAAGTGTCTCAGTGATATTTTGGGACCCAAAAAGAGAAGTATTAGAAATAGACTTTCTGCTTTTATTGAGAAGAAACTGGTAGCCATTTTTTTCTTATTTTCTCTCCTTAATATTATGAGCTCAGTTGGAAATACATACATGTTGACAAAATTTTAATGTGTTTTAGTCACCAGAAACCTTGACAAACATTGAAATAAACTGGTGAATATCGACTAATTGTTAGGTTGATTGTTCATAGCAGTTGAGGCTTCCTGAACTAGAGGCATTTTTAAAAAGATTGAAATATCATTGTGCACAATATGGGCAACAGTACAAGAGTATTGATGGTACAGAAGAACGGAAGTCAATGAAAAATATTTGACTTAAATGATGCATTAAAAAGTTAGACATCTTTAAGTCTGGACTGAGCAGTATCAAATCTATTGCACTCTCATAATTTGGGGATTCTTGGAGATACCTGGATTGTTATATTTCAAAGATATTCTGGAAATAAAATGAATCAAGAAGAACTGAGGTGCGGACATGCAACCAAATCCAGGAATGTCTAAATTTATAAATATTTCTCAGAGAACTTGAAAATATGAAGTGTTTATATTAAAATTTTAAGAAACCTTTAAAAAAGTTAATTTCTAAATAAAATTTTAGGTCTATCATTACTGTATTTTAAAAACGTCTTTAAAATAAAATTAGCTCTGATTTATAAAAAGTACTTGTTGAGGGTATTCAGTTTAAGAACAACAGAAACAAATTATTTTGCTATACTGACCAGATTCCTAATAAGAATTGTTACTACACCAAGCAAGTTAACTATTTTGATGTTTACTCTAATAAAGCTAGTTTCTTAAATGTTACACTCACACTGCCTTTCCTTTAACCTGTCCTTAAACTTAGGTTCATGGTAAGGTCACTAGTAACAATGATAAACTTTGAGTGCCTTGATGATGGATTTTTATTCAGTTGCTCATCACCAGGGGAGTTCTATATCTAGAAAGAAAGGAGCAGTAATTAAAAGCACAGAGTTCTTCAGGGTTTCTACTATATGTGTAACTCAGGCTTGCTAAGGATTAATGCAGATTCTAGCTGAAATTCCTAGACTGCTAATGCATTCAATCACTCAGATAGTGCTAAAATATTGCAGAATAATCCTTAGAGAAATTTTGTAACAATTTTTGTTTTGCATCCTAATAGTATGTTCAGAGACAGAAAACAATTTTTAACATTAATTACACATTCTATGAAAAGCTCTAAGCTCACAACTACATGCATAGAAATTCCTTAAGTATACATTGATAGAGTTTAGAAGCTCATAATAGTTTGATTTTACAGTACTGTAAAGTGTTAGGGAATAGTAATAAGTAAAAATTCATTTGATATTCAAAAAAATCCAAAGTAGAGGTGATGAATAAATAATAGATTGTCAGATAATACTTTAAAAATTCTTTGTACATGTTTATGGAAAACTATTTGATACCTTAAAAACATGATAATTACATTTGTGAAAAACAAAAACATACTGATATAATACTAAACAATATAATTTGTATTTTATTTTTGTATATGAAAGCCATGTATGTTAATTTTCACTTGAAAACCAGCAACTTAATTGTGTATTTATAAATGTTGAAGAACTCCGATTTTATGTTTTGTGATCACAATTAAAGAATAATTTCAATAAGATGGATATCAAAACAAAATATGCCCTTACTTTTTAGTAATGTTTAAAAGTACATTTGAAGAGTTATAAACGTGTTTCAGTTTTTTTCGTCAAATTTTCAGTTGGCTTAATCATGATGTTCAAACATAGACATAAAAGTTTATTAAAAATGGAATAAATATGGTCTTTGTAATAGCTTCTTAAAAATTTCAGACTTAGCTTCAATATTTTAAAATCTATTTAAAAATACACATATTAAATAGATCCTATTGTATAAATACATACATGCTTAATTTGTACACAAAATCGATCTTCCTCCATAGAATGTAAACTACAACAAAGCAGACTTTTTTGTTCGGTTGCTTCCTCTGCTGTAATATATTTCCAACTTCTAGAATAGTGCACGGCACTTACTGAGTTCACAAAGAATATTTTTGATATAGACTGTGATGGTTAATTTTATGTATCAACCAGGTTGTGTCACAGGGTGCCCAGGTACTGGGTTAAACCTTATTCTGGGTTTGTCTGGGAGGATGTTTTGGATGACATTAACATTTGAATTGCCAGACTGAGTAGAGCAGATTGCTATCACTAATGTGGTGGCCTTCATCCAACCAATTGAAACCTTGAATAGAACAAAAAAGCTGACTCTCCTGTAAATAAGAGGAAATTCCTCCTGACTGACTGAGCTGGAACATCCACCTTTTTCTTACCTTTTGATTCAAGCTGATACATGGGCTCTTTGTGGGTCGTGAGTGTGTCAGATTTTGAACCACACCATTGGCTCTCCTGGGTCTCTAGCCTGCTGACTGTAGATCTTGGGACTTCTCAACCTCCAAAATCATTTGAGCCAATTCCTTATAATCTCTCTCTCTCTCGCTTACCCTACACACACACACACACACACACACACCCCGTGTTGGTTCTGATTCTCTGGAGAACACTGATTAATAGAGGTAGAGGTATATTTTAAAAATTCTGTTTTTTCCAAAAAGACAAGAACGTTTTATTTATTTATTAAAGCCAAGATGAACAGTCAGCTATAGAAAAATAAATACATTTTTAAAACTAAATGTTCATCAACCCATATGAAAACATGTGTACTGGTAGAAGTATTGTCAGAGACTCCGCAGGGTCTCGGGATGCTGGTGAGACCTCAGCCCCAGCTGGTTCCCAGACCCTTGACATAATTGCAAGAAAGAATTCAGGGATAAGTCAGAATGAAGCAAAAGGCAAGAAATCTTATTGCAAAACAAAAGTATACACTGAAGAGAGAAGGCAGGCATGCTCATGAGAATGAGTCACACCACAGAGTTTGGGTTTCTCATTTTATGGGTGTTCCTTTAATTAGAGGGTGAAATAATCACTCAGTATTCTGGAACAATGGGGGATTTCAGGGATGCCCCTCATTGCTGTCCTCTTTCTCCCTTATTTGGGCTTGCCCAGAAGATTTATGGACATGTCACCTTGACCAAGATTTTGGCCATTTACTCTCTCTTATTTTGGGTTTTCTGTTACCCTGTGGATTTATTTTTGTATAGTTCTTGTTTTAGTTGTTGTTTGGATTTTTCCATCCTCCTGTGACTACCCAGTGCTATTCCTATCTCAGAAGCAATTATGTACTATTCAAATAAAATACCAACATTCAAACATTTTCTCTGTTTAAAGGGTTGTTCATTTTTTCTATTATCATTCATTGACTTTTCCAAATTTTTATTTGTATTGTTTCAGCCATTAAGTTGTGGTGATTTGTTACAGCAGCAATTTTTTTTAAAAATTATAAACGCTTCTATCTCAATGACCATATTTTGTTAATCTCCTTGGCTGTTCTTTCTGATCGCCTCTTCTGTGTGTCAGATGGGAATTTTAGGAGCTCTCCGCTTTCTTACCTAAATTCACTTTTTTTTTTTTTTTTGGTCCAGTCTCAGAACTTTGAAGACCACTGTTATGGGTTTAAGTATGCTCTCTCCCTCTCCAAATGTGTTGACGTCTTAACCCACGGTGCCAGCGAATGTTATTTTATTTGGAAATAGGGTCTTTACAGTCTCTTTACAGACTTGATTAACTTGATTAATCAAGTAAATTCGAGTTAAGATGCTGCCATTAAGGTGGGTCTTAATCTAACAGAACCAATGCCCTTATAAATAGAGAAAAATGTCATGTAAAGACAGAGACAAACAGGAAGAGTACCATGCAATGACAGAAGCAGAGATTGGAATGATGCAGCTGTGGGACAAGGAGAAGCGAGGATTGCTGGCCACCACAAGAAGCTACAAAGAGACAAGGAAGGATTCTGCCCAGACTTTCAGAAGGAGTATGACCACGATGAGACCATGATTGTGGACTTTTAGCTTCTAGAACTGTGAGGCAGTTGTGTTTGTTGCTTTGTTTGTTTCAAGCCACCTAGTCTGTAGTACTTTGTTATGGCAGCCCTAGGAAACCATCTATGATGCTGCTGCTCATTCATTCCCAGAAACAAACTTCTCTATCCAATTGCTCACTAGATATTTTGATCACAAATTTATATTGGATTATATTTTTCCCAATGTGGCATACCCCTTTTGAGGTCCCTTCTGCATGGTGAGGAACAGCTAAGAGCATATCCTGGTGTCTGCTGCCCTCTACGGTTCTTGTTAGGACTATCGGTGGGAAGGTTTCAATATCTGGATAGCAAAATGATAGGAAGATCATTATTCTCTAATGGAAGTAGCAGCCAGATGTGTGTGTAGGCATGAGAGTCACAGCCAGACACATGAGAACCTGAGAATCAGCTGATTCATTGCTACATACTAAGACAATGTGAACTTTGTCAGTAAGTCTTAAGATTTAAAAATTTCCAGAGAACACTTGAGAACTATGGGCTTCAGTGCTTTGGTGTCTGCCTCACCTCTAGCTACGATTTCCCTGACCTTCAGTAATGATTTCCCTGATCAATGTACCTGAATTCCAAAATCATCCAACATTGGTATGAATCCTAATTTCTATATCCAATGGAGTTTTAATTTATAAAATTTATTTTCCTGAACAAACTCAAAGCAAAACCGAAGAGCACAATAAGCATCTCAACTTTACCATGCCCAAGACTAACTCCTGCCCTTTGCTGTCCTCTGTTCTGACCCCAGACCTGCTCCTTCCAAAGTATTCCCAGCTCAGTCCATAGAAACTTTATCTATCTAGGTGATTCGGCTATGACTACTATAACTATCCTTCATTGCTATATTTCTCTCACACCCCATTCCCAATTCATTAGTATATTCTATTTAAAAATACACAAAAATCTGACTATGTCTCACTACTTTTTCACTACCACCACACTGGTCTATTCACGGTTGCCTGAATTCTAATTACTGTCATAGTCTCAACTGGTGTTTCTTCTGCTGTTGCTCACTTACAGATTATTTTCAACACAGAAGACCGAAGCTTACGTTTTTTTCAAATGGTAAAGAAAATGTAAATGAATTAACATTTTCAAAGTGGTATATACCGTTAATACTATACAGAACTACATTATTTTGTCTTGAGTGTATTGAAGGCACAGTGGCTCATACTTTTAATTCCAGCGACTAAGGAGGCTGAAGCAGGAGGATTACTTGAGGCCTGGAGTTTGAGAGTACATGAAAATGGTGTTGTATAGTGACTGTGAGCACCCTCTCAACTTTGATTCTACATATGCCACCTATTAGCTGGGAGGGCTTAGGAAAGTGATGTAATCTCTGTTAAATGCAATTTGTTCTTCTCTAAAATAAGCTGATAATACTTTCTAATAGAATTGTTAGCACAGGACCTAATAAAATGTGCTCTGAAATGGTGACAATAATTACTATCATTAGAAAAAAACTGGATCCCTTGAATTGTAAAATATGACGAAAGTTTATTCTTACTAACCTCCCATGCAAGATTTATCCAAAGGCATAAATACAAGAACATAAACACAGACATCTTTTCATTCCCAGGAAGAAATGTCTCTGGGTTTGGCAGATGGTCCCTGAACAAGTTTGAACAATTTTTGGGGATCATTAACTCTGAATTAGTTAAGAAGAATAAACAAATCTTACGTGTGAGAAACTAGTCCGTTTACCTTACAAAGCAATCAAAGCAAATTTCTTGTGGGAAAAGTGGTGGAACTGTCAGCAATAGGATATAACAAGAAAATATCCTTAATTCAGAAAGAAAAGATGGTGGTTTGTTTTCCTTCTCTCTGCCTCTGTCTCTCTCTTTCTTTCTCTCTCTCTCCCTATCTGTCCTTCTTGCTTTCTCTCTCTCCCTCCCTTCTACCTATCATCTATCTATCTATTATCTATCATCTATCTTATATCTGTCTATGTATGTATATATGTATGTATGTATTTATCTCCATCCATCCTATCATCTATGTATCTATGTATCTATCATTTATCTATGTATGTATCAATCTACCAATTAATGTATCATCTGCTCTCTGGAAAAAAGAATTGACTTTTACAAATGTTATTTTCTTTACCTCTCAATTACCATTCACAAATTATAAAATATTATCACTTTTAGTCCTTATGAAGTATCTTCTAGTGGATGTATTATTTTTTTCTTACTCAGTTAAGTTAAAAAATAATTTTCAGAGAATTTAATGAGAACCATCTCTTCAATTGCTGTCTTAAAATATTATTCAGCCTTGAGGCAGTTGGTGGTGTGGAGAGAAGGTTGAATGATGTGGTTTTGTTTGTTGTCTGCCTATGTGATGCCAACACCAGATATGGCCATTTTTTCACCACATTCTCAATTATAGGTATAGGCAGGTTACTAACTCATTGTATAAAACAAGATCTCTTTCAACTTATTTAGCTTATTTCGATATGTCAGTTTTTCTGAATACCTCAGGTGGTATTTGAGCACCAGGGATTAATAGGCTGCTCCAAGATCTCATTGGCTTGCAGGAAACTTACTGAGTGTCTAAAGCACGTAACACACTATCCACTGTGTATTTCCATTTAAACATTTTACACATTTTATCTCCCTGGAATTCTTTTCACCTGTAATGTGGCTCAAATCTCCTCTACACTCTCAAAACTCCTAAACTAATGGGTGAATTGCTTAAATTTCAACCCACTCAGGGATCTACCAATATTGAAGTCTTTATATTTCTCCTTATGATTTTCTAGCTCCATATACATAGAGAAGAATAAGCAGATTTGTAAAGTTTAGGTTGCATTGTATCTATCAGATAAATATGTCTTGTGTTTCCCTCAACCTTGCTATCCCTCCAAAAAAAAAAAAAAAAAAAAAAAAGAAAAGGCATAGTTTTTACTTCTTAAATGTCTATTGTCTGAGGAAGGTCAGTCTTTATAATCTAGCCATCTGAATGCAGTAACTATCAAGAAACAGAAAAATCACATAATCTTTTAAAATATCTTCATACTAGACTTTACGTTACACTGAATCTTTCAATTTGACTTCTGCATTTTTAAAATAGGTATTTTATTTTTGCTAAAAAATAATTCAGTTTTCAGGACTCTAAGGGCTTCTCCAGGTTTAGAGTTGACTTCTCTGGGTTTTATGATTAGACCTAGATATCTTAAAATGAATGTTTTAATTTTTTGGCCATAGATAAAACTACTACATTAATATTTAAGGTGATCGAAGGGTATGTGAAAATTTAATATGAATCTGATAATTTTATTATTACTATAATTAAATGTTTTCTAGTTGAGATGCACTTTGTGGCTCCCCGATTCAAAAGAATCACAGTAAAACCCATTTATTTTATTTCTTAATAAGTATACATTTAGAGAAAAGCAGCTCCATTACAGGTCAAAATACATTGCAAAACTCCAGTTATGTAAACTTTATTGTGAAGTTATATTCTAAAAAGTACTTACATAAAATTGTTCTATGGGTGAAAATTTACATCGTTTGACATTTTTGTCATAATAAACTCTTTGTATATTTTTACACACATTAAGAGAATTTTATTAAATACATTCCCAGAAGCAGATATGTCAGGGCAAAGACACACACATAAAATGTCAGTATATAATGCTGTAAACCAAAAATAAAATCCTAAGCCCCCCAACCAACTGAATGAAATCCCCTCTTGGCCTAGAGGACCCCAGAGAAACCTGAAAAGCTGGATTGTTGGCCATGATGGAAGGGAGGCTGGACAGTTCTCATTATATCCTCTCCCTTTTGGAGTTTAGGCATAACTGATCAGTATTAACATTGAAATAGAGAGTGTAAGACTGACAAAATAGACTCTGTGACAATAAGTTACCAAATTCCAACTTGAATCTGGTATAGCATCACATGACAGATAGCAGACCTTGAAGAAAATAAAAATATTTTACCTCAAAATAAATTTGACATGTTTTGAAATGGCCCTGCAAAACCATCTCTTGTGGGGAAAATTTGCATCTGTAGAGAATCTCCATTAATGCAGCAGACCTTCACTTTGTAGGCCTATGTCTTTCCCAGATCTAGAACAGATTAAAAGAGTCTAACCTTTAAGGTCTGAAAAGACACATTTATAATTGATTCTCTCTGAAGGCTGCTACCTGGAGGCATCATCTGCCTCATGAGAACCTTGGCCTCCATGACTCCCCCTTACCTTAACTCAAGCTTTTACTTCAAGTCTTTAGGCAAAGCTTAACTCTTTCAACCAACTGCCAATCAATCAGAAACTCTGAATCCACCTATGACTTGTGAATCACCCTACTTCAAGGTATTCTGCCTCCTTAGGCTAAACCAACTTACAACTTCCATGTATTGACTTATGATTTACCTAAAATGTATTGACTTAATGGTTTTACCTAAAAGGTATAAAGCCAAACCATACCCTGGATACCTCGGATACACTTTCTCAGGACTGCTTGAGACTGTTTCCTGAGCCATAGTCACTCATATTAGTTCAGAATAAACCACTTTAAATATTTTACAGTTTTGTTTTTCTGTTAACAATGCCAAATTATTCCCCAAAAGTGGCCACAATCATCTTTCAATCAAAGGTTATACATGACATGATTAATTTCCCTAAATCTAGACTAGTGTTTATAAGCAATGATTTTAATTCTTCTTTAATATAGTAATTGAGAAATGGAAATATAGTAATTGAGAAATTTGTTTTAGTTTCTTATAAAGTCACATGTTTACTGACATTGTACATTTATTTTCTTGAGTCGTCACTTTTTTGTATCATTTTCTATATTATATTTTTATTAAACTTTATGTATTATAGATTATAATCTTTTGCCAGTTCATGTTCCAATTTTTGGTTTGTTATTGTTGCTATTTTTAAAACAATTGATTAACTTTTCTTTAGCTATTGTATAACTTACTCATTTCAGGTTATTCTTTTATTATAGTAACTGTAAATTTTATTTTATAGAAATTATATTTGGCTGTTTACCAAATCTAGCTTCTATTTATAATGTTTTGAATTCTTACATTTTAGTGTCTGTTAGAGTCTAGCCATGATATTCTGTATCCTTATATTTTTCTTTTTTTTCTTTAATGTCCCGAGGGCATTTAAACATAAATGGTTTGAGTCTCTTTCCTATTGCTCTATTATGTTTAGCTCCTGGCATATGGATTTGACAGCTCCTAGATGTACAAATTGTCAGTTGCTACCGAGTGCCCAGTATTACTAATAACTTACCCAATGACTTGGTTTGACTGAACTTTAGTGGATTTTCTTTCCTCCCCACAGGCCCTTAAATTTTGGCTTGACTTTAAGCTTCAGCAATCAATATGGTGCCACAGCACAGAGAAGAACATTTCCTGTTAAATCAGCAGGCGAGGGTGAACAGACAACCTGATTATGGTGTCTGCTCACCCCTACCTACTTGTCCTGCTTACCTACAAAGTTCCTGCCAGCCTTGTTTGTCTGTTTGTTATTTTGACTGTCACTTTTCCTGACCATTCGTAGTTGTTAAATTCCACTAATTGCAGGCTGATTGCTCTAATGTTTTCAATAATGCTTTGGGACATAACCTGCCCCACAGACTAATCTAATCAAATACTAGCACTTCAAAGGGAAAATTCCTGAAGTCAGTATTTTAGATTTGTTCTGACCACAGGAGGGCTTTTCCAGCCATCTCTCTCCCTGTTAATCTTTGGCAAATTAACCAGCTTACATTTCAGTCTCTATTTTAAACAAACCTACCAATTCTTCCCAATTGCCCTTCATCACAACTTTCACTGGTTCAAGAGCTTTCATAGGAACCTCTCCGTGCACTGTTGCAAGTAAAGTCAATTTTGAGGGGAGGGATGGGAGTTTTGTACTGTGGACTGCTTCCCCCAGGGCAAAGTCCCTGAGCCATAGTGTTTTTGCTGTGGGTGTGGACGATGGTGTGCTTCTGTCTGAAGACACTCCCACTTCAGGAACTGAGCTGTCAGTGGATAGGGAAGGCAGCTGCACTAGGTCTTCTTGACTTGCCTCTCACAGCAATGAGTTACAGCAAAGGCAATCAGGACCCCAGAATTCTCAGAGGCACAGGGTGGAGCTTAGTGGAAGAGTATTCTCTGCCTCTTGGCCACAATCACCAGGAACTTAGCCTCCACAGTAGGTAGCCGGGGGAAGCATGAGAAATGCTGTCTTGCCTGTCTTTGGAAAATGGCCTTTTTCTTGGGACCTGCAGGGAGAAAGGGAGCCCTGCGTTCTTGGCTGTACCAGTCCAAAGTGGAGTTTTCATCTCAAACAGCTGGGGGAAGGATGGAGGGCAGGCAGTCAGATACACAGATTCTGCAGATTCACAATTCTTAATGAGTTTTCGTAGATTTTCTTGAATAAATATTTCTTCATTTGTTTTATGCCCTTAGGGTTATTTTCAGATACTTTAAAAAATACATTACAACAATTTTCACTATATATGCTGAGGAGCTTCTCCTGCTGTCAAATGAGAAGTGGTTCGCTATGTTTACTTTTAATATCATTTTTTGTCACTTTGATTAAATAGGTAGCCAAGTATTGTTTCTCACAGCCCATGATTCTACTTAATCAAATGCTCAAACTTTCTGACAACTTTTAACATTTTTCTCTTCCTCAAAGCAATTCCTAAAATAAAGATATATTTTCCACATAAAACTGTCTTTGAGATTTTCCAGAGAGTCTGTGGAAAATCACCAAGGATTTGCTCTTTGACCTTGTAATGACAAAGGTGCTAGAAAAGATTAGGGTTATTTGATGTATTGTAAATTTTATGGGGAATGTTGTCAAGTCAAATGAAATACTTGGCCCTTCCTATATTAAATATGTATAAATAAATTATTAATATAAATATTTTAGAGACTGTATAAGGCTCCTAGTAATTTATCAATGCTCTCACTGTTTTGATATATTTCTATTCATCAAAATTCAGTCCTGTTTTGCCTGATGTTTATTAGGCAAAAAAGTATAGTGTTATCAGTCATAATTTCAGTAACCTTTAACATATTAACTTGGTGACTGTTAAATGTCTCTCATTTGAATCCAGTATAGTCTAGTTCAGTGGTTTTCAATTAAGAATTAACATTACTTATTATGGAGTTTTTTTTTTTTTAACTTTTTTTCTTCTTCTTATTTTTGTACATGACTAAGTTCTTTAGTGGTGATTTCTGAGATTTTGGTGCACCCATCACCTGTAGCCTTTTCTCTGTCACCCCCCTCCCACCCTTTCCTCCAACTCCCCAAAGTCCAAAGTCCATTGTATCATTTGTATCATTTTTTTTTTTTTTTTGAGACGGAGTCTCCCTCTCTCCCCAGGCTGGAGTGCAGTGGCATGATCTCGGCTCACTGCAAGCTCCCCTTCCTAGGTTCACGCCATTCTCCTGCCTCAGCCTCCTGAGTAGCTGGGACTACAGCCTCCCGCCACCACACCCGGGTAATTTTATTTTTGTATTTTCAGTAGAGACGGGGTTTCACCGTGTTAGCCATGATGGTCTTGATCTCCTGACCCCGTGATCCACCCGCCTTGGCCTCCCAAAGTGCTGGGATTACAGGCGTGAGCCACTGTGCCCAGCCAGTCCTTTGTATCATTTTTATGCCTTTGCTCCCTCATGGCACTGGGCAGGCTGAGGCAGGAGAATCAGGCAGGGAGGTTGCAGTGAGCAGAGATGGCGGCAGCACAGTCCAGCTTCGGCTCGGCATCAGAGGGAGACCGTGGAAAGAGAGGGAGAGGGAGACCGTGGAAAGAGAGGGAGAGGGAGACCGTGGGGAGAGGGAGAGGGAGACTGTGGGGAGAGGGAGAGGGAGAGGGAGAGGGACAGGGAGAGGGAGAGGGACAGGGACAGGGAGAGGGAGAGGGAGAGCGAGAGCGAGAGCGAGAGCTCGGGCTGATTTCTTATTCTCCGCCTTTGAAAAAAAAAAGCTGGTCTGTAGTTTTCTGTTTGGGTTATGTCCTTTCTTGATTTTGGTATTAGGGTGAGGCTGGCTTCATAGAATGATTTAGGAAGGATTCCTTCTTTCTCTATCCTGTGCATAGTGTCAAGAGGATCGCTACCAATTCTTTTTTGAATGTCTGATAGAATTCAGCTGTGAATCCATCTGGTCTTGGACTTTTTATTGTGTTGGCAGTTTTTAAATTACCATTTCAATCTTGCTGCTTGTCATTGGTCTGTTTAGAGTTTCTATTTCGTCCTAATTTAATCTAGGAGGGTCGTATATTTCCAGGAATTTATCCATCTCCTCTAGATTTTCTAGTTTATGCAGGTAAAGGTGTGCATGGAAGCCTTGAATGATCTTTTGTATTTTTGTCATATTGGTTGTAATAGCTCCTGTTTCATTTCATCAATATACAGATGCTACTCCAGACATACTGAATGTGTTTACTTAATAGTCTTAATGTATCTTCATATATTTTAATTATTGGCTTGTTATTTTTGTAGTATGTTATGTTTTGGAATTGTCATATATCTGAAGTTTTTTCTGTAAATATTATGTTCATCTCTTTTCATAAATTAGATACATTTGATCTTTGTTGAAAACAAAATTAATAATTAAATTTATTAGACAATTTCTCTAAAACATTTGGGATTTACTTTGTTTTGTTTTGCATTCCACAGAAACAACCTTGCCACTTACATTATTTTTATAATAACTTTTATATGACATTTTAGTTTCAAAAATTATTCGCAAGATTGCCAGAACCATTTTAAGCCTTTTATCATCTACATGTAGTTTTTAACTCTCCTGCCTGCCTGAAAGCACTTTTGAATCAACTACAGGTCAGATTTGTCAAAAAAAAAAAAAGATTTTCTTACAGACTCATAAAAATAACTGTCAGCCAGGTATTTTTGAGCAAGGTCTCTGATAGAATAATTTAAATAACATTTAGACCATCTCAGTGGACTGAATCAGGATATGAAGAATTCCAGTAAACCAAAAAGCAGATGGGATAATGAGATGCTATCCCAAGATTGAGCAGAACAAAAAATTAATCACAACACTCCCCATTCATCGGTGGTTTCCTTTTCCTCCATTTCAGTTACCTGAGGTCAACTGTGGTCTTTTCCTTTTCCTCCATTTCAGTTACCTGAGGTCAACTGTGGTCTGAAAATATTAAATGAAAAATTCCAGAAATGAACAATTCATAAGTTTTAAATTGCACACCATTCTGAGTAGTGTGATAAGATATTGTACTGTCCCACTCTGTCCTTCCCGGGACATGAATTGTCCTTTTGTCCACAGTCTCCATGTTGTATATGTTAAACACTCATGAGTCACTAAATAGCATCTTTGGTCTGGATTATCATATCCCTTATCATATCAACTGCCCTGATAGATCAGTGCTTATGTTCAAGTAATCCATGTTTTACTTCATAATGGCCCCAAAGCATAAGAGTAGTATTGCTAACATATTGCTATAGTTGTTATACTTGTTCTGTTTTTAGTTGTTGTTGTTGATCTCTTACTCTGCCTAATTCTTAAATTAAACTTTATCATGGTATGTATAGGAAAAATGTAATACAGTGTTAAGTGCTATCCATGGTTTCATGTATCTCCTGGGGGCCTTGAAATGTATGCCCTGTGGATAAGGTTGGACTATTATACATAAGACTGAATAAACTTACGTATAATTTTGAGATAAAAAAGGATAATTATGGTTTTGTTTGAAGCAAAATGGTTGCCTTGATGTTCTATTTTCTGGACTTAAGAAACCTTTCTTTTCCTTTAAGCTATTTACAACCCATAAAACTTAGTTGACTATACTTTTGTAAACAGGATTAAAATATTTATCTTTTCTCTTTGGCTGGCTCCTCTTTGAAATCTATTATTATTACTTTTCATGGCAATATAATTATTGCATAGATTCCATAAGAGTCTGCCCTACTTATTAAAGAAATACATTGGTCATGCAACCGAGGTTTTGACTGAGATGTCATATTTAAGAATATTGCTCATTTAATCAAATATGACAAGACACTTTTTAGGAGGTAAGATTAACTTAATGGAACCAATGCTTACAAAGCCCTCTTGAGAAAATTGTCTTGTTGACTGGGTTGTAAGATTTCCAGTCTTTCAAATGAGTGGGAAGGTTCACTTCTGTCAGACCCAGGAATCTTAGCATATTTTGGATACAAAGAGAAAAGTGAAATCCACTCAAATCTGTAAGTACTACACATAAAATTGTATGGTAAGCTCTTAGCTCGGCCTCATAGCTTTGAGAGGCTTTTAAGTCTAGTCTGATACATTTTATATAAACTTCTAGCAAAAGCAGGTTAAGCAAGGTTTTAAGGTAAATTATCATTGTTGTAGCACGTATATAAAGAATCAGGCCAAACCTAACAAGGCTAGTCTTACTTTGTTATCAAGAATAATGGATCCTTGAAATTATCTATAATCAAAGGGAGAGTGACTGTAAAATAAACATTTTGTTTATCAGAAAATTATAAGACATACTTTTGGTTTACATTTCCTCTCTCAAACAGCTTTGTCCCTTACTATGAACTGGACTGTGTCCTGTCACGTAACACAAATTGTCAACCATTACCAAATGTTCAATCCTTCCATTTTCTTTCATCATCTGTTAAAATCTGCCAAACCAATTTGTCCAATTTTTTTCTCTCTCTCCTGACTTGGTGTCACCAAGAACTAAAACTTGACTGTCCAACACCTTTTTGGATCTAAAAAGTACTGCAAGCTAAAATCCAATGATTTGATGTATACTTTGAAGGACTCATCATTGTTGCAGTTCTATCATGAACGACTTTATGTGCCTTGTGCCACTGACACGTGGGCAACTCGAGAAATTCATTGAATCTGCTATAATTTGCTAAGAGAATAACCAGGACTATGTGGCAATCCTACCAAAACTGCTAACATCATCACCAGAGAACTATAAAATGGAGTGCTGTTTCAAAATATGTGGCAGTGGACATAATTTGTGCTTTCTAGCAGGACATTTGCACAGTGGTCAGAGCAATTACTATATGTATTTTTTTTCACAATCTCTCTGATGTCTATGCCATCACCAAAAATATTCAGACCACAACTTTGAAAATTTGATGAATTGCCAGTCCTCCTTACTCCACAACCTAAGGATTCTTCAGTCCTGAAATATTCTCATCTTCCCACAAACTTCCCTTCAAAACTTACATATTGGATTTATTCACTTATTTAGCCTTTAATAATTATTATTTTTATTATATTCTTGGCATATCTTTAGTGCCTAATATATAAGGCCTTCCAACAACTGCCAGTCTCACAAATGCTCCAGAGATGAGACAGCCCATCCTGCAAGGACAAAAAACTCATAAAGGCCAGTCTATCTCTGAAAACGGCTTTGACTAATGTTGGCCTCACAGTGACTCCTGTTCTATTCCGGTCAGAGCCTAAAGGGCACATTTTTTGTCTAACAACAGGAGGTGCTGACCAAGTGCTCACAACATGCTGTAACTTACCCAGTGTCTTGGCTTGCCCAAACTTTAGTCACGCTTCCCATCTCCCCGCTCTGGCCCCTAAAATTTGACTCAATCCAGAGTTAAGCAAACACTAATGTGCAGAACATCCCCCCTTAACAACTCATTCTCAGAGTCAGCTGACAGCAGAGAACATTTTCTATTGGACTGTTCCATTGATGCTGCATATTCACTCCCATACCTGCACTTCACCCCTACATGAGAAGGATTTGCAGGAATTTCCCCCACAAAGTTCCTGTATACCCTGTTTAAACCTCCCTATATAAGAAAGCTCTTTTTCTGTGTGATTTTGAGAAGCTTGTTACAGACACTGAGGTCAGAGTGCTTTCTCTATTGTAGTAGTCTTTTCAAATAAAATCTCTTTCCTTAAGTCTGGATTTGTTTTTAAATTGAGAGTTGGAAATAAGTTTCTATGTATGCTTTGTGATTACAGCATGTGAGCTCATTAACCAGGGCTTTATGTTCTCCATTCATAGGTAAGACAGGCTTTGCTCAGCTCCTTGATTTATGGGATTTATCAGTTTTAGCTATAGCCATGCATCAGTGTTAAGGCCTTGACTCTGATCTTCATACTAGTTTAAAAATCCAAGCCTCTAAGCACATTTCCAATCAAAATATACCCTGGGGATAATGCAACTTTGATTTCAGTCTACCACTGTGGTTTTGAGTTCTTTTTTGTTAATTGGCACCTGGGCATCCCTCTTTTATATTTTTAAGCTCATATACATTAAAATTGCCTTTGTATTCAATATTTCATATGTTTGAAGTAGAAAGGCATTATAAAACATCAGTTAAATACATCATAGTAAAAGAAATTACTCATCGGAAAGTTTGTAGAATAATTTATTAAACATTATTTTATGTATTTTAAAATAGTTGAGCTCTATGCTTTGGAATAGGAAAAATACATAGTTTACATTGCATTGCTACGTAAAGCAGTAAATTATTATATTCTTGCATATCTTTTGTCTAGTGCCTGATATATAAGACCTTCCAACAACTGCCAGTCTCACAAATGCTCCAGAGATGAGACAGCCCATCCTTCGAGGCCATACTATTCATAAGATAATTTCCTTTTGTTAAAACATGTTTATGGCATAATGGTATTTACATAGATATAAATGATAATTCTTAGAAGGATATATTTAATATTAATAATAGTTAGCTTTAGGAAGTAGGATTGGAATAAGATTATAAGCTCTTCTCAGAAATCCTTGATTGATGGCCTTTTATATTGTTTAAATTTGCGCTTCATTTTTCCTTTTCTCTTACAATGTATCAGTGAGCAATTTTTGTGAGCACTTCTAAAAGATAAATTCATAGATAATAGTGCTTAAAGCATGAATGGTAGAAGTCTTTCAGGAAATTATATTATGTGTGTTCTTTATAGGACTTTAGAAAATATTACTAAATTGTTTAATAGCATTAAATATGCACCCATTTTGTGATTAAATATAATTTAGTTTAAATTTATTTTTTATTCTTGGGTAAGAAAACTAAGTGACAAAAGATTCTTAAACAGACCATGTGATTTTCATTCCGTAGAAGGGAGAAAACTGGTCAGGCACGGTGGCTCATGCCTGTAATCCCAGCACTTTGGGAGGCCGAGGTGGCCAGATCATGAGGTCAGGAGATCGAGACCATCCTGGCTAACACGGTGAAACCCTGTCTCTACTAAAACTACAAAAAAATTATCCGGGCATGGTGGCCGGCGCCTGTAGTTCCAGCTACTCGGGAGGCTGAGGCAGGAGAATGGTGTGAACCTGGGAGGCGGAGCTTGCAGTGAGCCTAGATCGCGCCACTGCACTCCAGCCTGGGGGAGAGAGGGAGACTCCGTCTCAAAAAATAAAATAAAGTAAAATAAAATAAAGAAGGGAGAAACTAAGAGAAATTTGTATTGAGATAGGAAAAACAATTTTTTTATTTCATTTTTGTTTCTTGTTAGAAAAACAAAAAGTTTTATATGCTAAAATTTCATCAATTGTGAAACATTGATTATCTCACAAAACTCTCTGGCTAATAAAGGAATAAGAAATAATCAACAGAAATGCATAATTCCCTAGATCTTGTAAGTGGACCACCAATCTTCACTGGTCAAGTCACACCATGCAGTATGAATGCTTCAGAATGCTTCAGAGAATGAGAGGCATGCAGGAACAGGGAGCTTCTCTGTCTACCTTTTACCTACTTAAGAGCGGTGTTTATCAGTGGCACCAAAGGGTCAACATATACATTTATACTGCTGTTGTAATTATTAAATGAGTTATCTAACATAGTTTAACAGCTGGAAATATACTTCATTTTCTCCCGGGGTATTAGCCCTATCTAGGATTGGGCTGTGAAATTTCATAAACTAGTAATATCTGAATTGAAGTTTCAGGGATGAGTCAAATATTGTCGGATGAACTTTAAACAACTTCAATGGACAGAAAGAAAGTTGTGCAGATGGAAGTATGTGTGAGATGATATGGAAACTTCGGGAACACTTAAGATACACAAAATTCCCTGAAGAGGGCTGAGGAGGGTTTAGCTTGGAATTTCAGGAGATGAGGATGATAAGCAAACATTGCCCAAAAGGTAATCAACCTGTCATGACATGCTAAGAATTTTTATACTTCACTCTCAATGGCACTTAGTTACATATATAAAAAATGCGTAGAAAATGAGTAGTAGATACTCTCAAAGTTTGTTACACATTGGTCTAGAAATCAGGAAACTATTGATTAAATAATGCTTGTAAATTGAAATAAGTACATATGTGATAGATTTATTCATATGTTAAACAAAGCTTTAAGTAAAATGACCACTGTAAAATTTATAATTTAAAACATAAATGAAAATATATTTAATAATAAGTAAATATAACAGGAACTATTTAAGAATATTAAATAGAAAAATAAAAAATAATACAACCATTTTGCAACATTCACTATGTTTACTAAAAACCAAGAATGGGCATAGAAATTTTGGTTAATGTTCTAAATATTTTTAAACACTTTCATGCTTCTTAGCACTACCTTTGTTTCGCTTTAGTGAAAATCTGTATTTGAAGAACACTGATATTGTTTGGCTCTGTCTCCCCACCCAAATCTCATCTGGAATTGTAATCTCCACATGTCTAATGAGGGATCTGGTGGGAGGTGATTGGATCATGAAGGCGGTATTCTCCATGCTGTTCTCATGACAGTGAGGGAGTTCTCATGAGATCTGATGGTTTTAAAAGTGTCAGTTTCCTTTGAACACTTTCTCTCCCCTACTGTCTTGTGAAGAAGGTACCTCCTTCCCCTTCACCTTCCACCATGCTTGTAAGTTTCCTGAGGCCTACCGAGCAATGTAGAACCGTGAGTCAATTAAACCTCTTTTCTTTTTAAATTACCCAGTCTCCAGTAGTATCTTTATATAAGTGTGAAAATGGACTAATATAAACACAGATGGTAGTTTTGGTGTTACTTCATTACAGAGATGCAGCATTTTCCCAATTTTGTGAATATAAGGTCCTTTGTAAATGATCCACGAGTTTTTGGTTTTAATTTTACACAGTTTTAAAATAAGATAGTGAATCAGGATGTTTTTAAATAGGACTGTGCAACATATTTTACGATGAACGATATTGAGGAAATGGCCTGACTTTTCTAGGTCTGAGTTTCTTTATTTCTAAGCAACTGAGGGAAGTGGAAATGCATGATATCTAATATCCCTTACAACAAGAAATAATGATGCTTTATTTTCACCAAAAATATTCAGTATGAATGTGTGCATACATTTAAACACATAACCAGGTGACTATGACATGGTGGGGCAGGAAAATTCGGTAGGCTGAATAAGAATGTGTGATCCAAGGAGGTGGTCATGCAGATTATCTCAAAAAGATATCTTTAAATCACACTCAGAAGAAAAATAGGAAGTTGTGTATTTATTGAAAATATACTGAACCTAGCACATGCAAATACTCCCTTATTTGATAATATAACATCAAGCTAAAACTAAGTCCCAGATAATGAAACCAAATATGATAAGTTAAAGCAGGAGAAGATAATGCCATGAATTAGTTGGAAGACAGGATAGATATCTTACCTAGTGTAAGTCCTATTTGCTATGGCTAGTTTTTAATACAGTTCCTATAGAGAGCAGGAGGTATGAGTTACCTTGGACCCAAATGAGTTCAGAAACTAAAACCAAAATCACTCCAAAAAAGCTTCATAATCCAATAATAGTTGTCCTCTAATAAAACTTACACTAGAGAACGATCTGCCTGTGTATTTAAGAAGGTACCAGAAAGTCTGTCCTATGCCTCTATGCTGTGGTAGAAGAAATGTCTCTTACAAAAAATTTAATCCCTGCATTTGTTCTATGTACAGGTGAGAAATCCAAGTTAACACTGTACAAATGATATGAATTTTGGGAGGAAGAATTAAAAGGAAAAATTCTAGTTTATTAACATTTTGTTGAAAGTCACAAGAAGTACTCTCTTGAGAATAAATTTTATGTCTCTAGCCAATATTTTTAGTTGACCGAATTGTGTTTATTGTCATATGTTCTTCTTTGTAAGAGGATTTACTGGATTTGGAGTTCTGTATGTAGCTACAGAACAATTCCCACCAAATATATATATATATATATATATATATATATATATATATATATATATATATATGTGCATGCCTTTTTGTCAGACAGTAAATTGCTTAGAAATGGAAAACTTAGCTACCTCTTTTTGTCACTCCAGCTGCATTTGAATCCACTATTCTTCATTGAGACAGCTTATTTCCCTGAGTGTTTTAATGCAGTTCCAGAACTTATAACAATAGCACATAACATTTAGTACAATAGAATGATTATCTCTTCTACTTTCTTCTTCAGTCTCATTCAATAAATTGAAATCTTTTAGAAAAATGTATTCGGTCTGATAGGAAGGCATTTCAGTAGGCATATTACTAATTTCTAGTATGTATTCCAATAAACCTTTCCTTATTTTCCAGATGTGGTTTTTATGCTGCATTACTACTCACAGTAAACAATAGACTAGTAAAACAGACAGTACAGGTTTAATGATGAATTAAACTTCATTGCATTGACATTCTCTAAGCCAGTAATCTCTATATAATTGATTTTCTTCCAGAGGTCAATGTGAAACAGCAGCTTGAAAGTTACATCCCCAAGTAAATTGTAATTGTTGACCCCTGCCGCAACTTTCTTTATATCATTAGCTGAGGCATTAAACGTGTATGTTTCTTCACCTGTATTACACAATAAAAATAATGATTTTCTACCAGAAGATTATGAGTAAAATCATTGACACAATGTTTAAAACATTATAAAATACTAATTCATACTCTTCAAAGGCAGATACAATTAACATGACTATATAATGATCATTATGAGTATATTCTCTCTCAGTGTATGTATGTATATATTAGTTATATTACAGATTATAATTATTTAGAAGGTAACCCTTCTAAAATGTCAGTGACTTAACTAGCTTTAGATAAATGTAAGAATGAAACTTTAGGATTAATAAATAGGCAATATATTACAGTATTTGAAATAACATTTCATTTTCTTTCACTCTTAGGGTTTATATTTACTCTGTAGTTTCTCTGTCTTTACCCAAATTATGGTGATTTACAATGCCAACTTCTGTTTGGAGTGTGTGTGATTTATAATTTTTTGACTATTTTGAGATTTTAAACTGAGAGCATGTTTTTACTACTTATATCACTATTATTTTCATGATATATTTGTGTAATCCTGAAGTAGAGTGACATCTTTGGAACAATCACTTTATAAATTTGATCAATTTGAAAGTCCAAACCTGCAGCATGTGTTAGGATTGCCTTCTTTTGTAATAATCTGAATAATATTTTCTTATAAATATATACCACATTTTGCTTATCTATTCATTCGTAGTCAAATGTTTGGATTGCTTCCACCTTTGACAATTGCACATAATTCTGCTTTGAAGATTGTTGTACAAGTATCTCTTCAAGTACCCGTTTTCAGTAATTTTGGTTATATACCCCAAAGAATTGCTAGGTCATATTGTAGTTTTAACTTTTGAGGAACTACCATAGATAATTCAGTGTTTCACATTCCCAGCAACTGTGCATAATGGGTTACAATTTCTTCACATCCTCACCAATACTTGTTATTTTCTGGTTTGTTTTTGTTTTCGTTTTTTCAGTAGACACCCTCATAGGTTTTAGTTGATATCTCATTGTGGTTATTACTTGCATTGTCCTAATGATTAGGGGTATCAAACATCTTTTCATACACTTAATATTTTCATATTTCTTTTGATAAAACATCTATTCAAGTCCTTTGTTCATTTTCCAATTAGTTTATTGTGTGTTTTTGTTGTTGCAGAAGTTTTTTTTTTAATATTCTGGATAGTAACCTCTTATTAGATAAATAATTTGCAAATATTCCCTCTCATTTTGTGGGTGGTCTTTCACTCTATTAATTGAGTCCCTAATACACAAAAGTTATTTTGAAGTAATCCAATTTATCAATTTTAGTAGGTTTTATCTCAATGAATTTTTTATTTTACTTAAGTTGTCAATGTTTTGGCATATTATGTTTCTTGTATTCCTTAATTACCCTTTAGTGTTGTTATAATAAATTTCCATTTGTCTTTTTTTCTATATTAGTCTGACTAGAGGTTTATCAACTTTACTGATGTTCTCAAACAAGTTTTTATTTTGAGGATTTTTCTCTGTTAATTTTCTGTTTTTCTATTTCATTAATTACTTGTTTGATTTCTGCCATTTTCTTATTTCTTCTTGTGTTTTTCTAAATTCTTAAAGGAGAAGCTGAGTTCATTGAGTGTACATAATTTTGTTTTCTAATGTTTAGTGTTATAAATATCTCCCTGAGTACTGCTTTACAGATATCTTGTAGATTTTGGTATGTTGTATTTCATTTTTGTTTGTTCAGAATATGTACTTTTTAATTTTATTTTTGATTTCTTCTTTGACATATGTTCTGTTTAGAAGCATTTTTTTCAATTTCTATATATTAGGGAATTTTCCTGATATCTTTCTGTTGTTTTTTTCTAATTAAATCCCACTGTGATCAGAGAATGTACTATGTAGACTTTTATCTCTTTAACTATGTTAAGACTTTTATAATGGGCCAAGGATATATTACAGGGAGAGGATACTGACATATCTGACTATGATTGTGGATTCTTTTATTTCTTCATATGATTTTATCAGTTTGTTTCATATATTTGAAGCTATGTTATTAAGTGAATAAATATTTTGGATTTGTAGATCCTCTTGCCAAATTGACCCCCTTTATAAGTGGATGTTGATTTTTTTACCCAATCTGGTAATAATCAGGATGCCTTCCAATAATGTCTTCTAATCAGGATGTTTCCAACATTTTAATTTAATGTCATTATTGATATATTAAAATATATCTACGGCCTTACTGGTTGTTTCTCTTGTGATTTCACTGGTTGGTCCATTGTTTTTTGTTACTTTTTCCTCATTTTCTGGTTGTACTGTATTATTTAAATTTTTATGATTCCATTTTACCTACATTATTGGCTTATTATTTGAAAACTTTTTATATCTTTTATTTTGCCCTAGAGTTTACAAAAGGCATCCTGCTTTTATTACAATCTACCTGTCAATTGTATTATACCATTTCATGTGCAGTATAAAATACCAAGTATTTATTTCTAAAAACTTGTTTTATTGGGAATATTTGTCATATAAAACAGTTTTTAGTAGTTACAATGAAACCAAATTTAGGATAGGAAAAATATCATCTGAACTATATTGTTATGCTTAAAATTTCCACCAACAGCAAAGGCTTAAAACTCTAACACTCATTTGTCAAAAGCTACTTACAGCCTATTTGTCAAAGAAGCATCAGTTTCTATGGGAATGAAATGAAGTACTCTCAGCAATGGGTTACAGAAGTGTGTTAAATTTCAATGACTGAAACTCAGCACTCCTCTAATAACATAACTAATCACTCAGTAATAAATTCAGCAATAGTTTTTCAAACACATTCTTAGAGTGACTAGCTTAATTCTCTGAATAGTGGCTAACTGAAAATGAATATTTATAGACCCGTTTTTGAAATTATTACAGTGTAAATTGTGCATCTTTAACCCTGTACAAAATCACCATGTGATAGAATTCACAACTTGGTTGTTCATTTAAGTAAAATACTTTCAATATACCGTTATTATTCAGAAATGTATAGAAAGCAATTGAATTCTCTGTGGGAACTTGGATATACAAGGTCTGTTATTTGTCATCACAGTATTGGCTTCCAAGTTTAAGAGCCAAATCCTCTTAGCTACCAGAATACATACTTAACGATCTCCTGATGTGATCAAATTATCATTGATGTAGTAAATCACTTCCTAGATTCACTTCCACTTGACAATGTATCAATGTCGGAGGCACAGGATATTTTTTCCCCAGAAATACTTTATTTACCAACATGATGTGATTTTAGTGTATGTTTTATTTAATCTTCGATGAAAAATATTTTTTAAAATCTCTGCATACACTTGGTGGGGCACGGTGGTTCATGCCTGTAATCCCAGCACTTTGGGAGGCCGAGGTGGGTGGATCACAAGATCAAGAGATCGAGACCATCCCGGCCAACATGGTGAAACCCCCGTCTCTACTAAAAATACAAAAATTAGCTGGGCCTGTAGCACACGCCTGTAGTCCTAGCTACTCGGGAGGCTGAGGCAGGAGAATTGCTTGAACCCGGGAGGCGGAGCTTGCAGTGAGCCGAGGTCGCACCCCTGTACTCCAGCCTGGCGACAGAGCGAGACTCCGTCAAAAAAAAAAAAAAAAAAAAAAAAAAAAAAAAAAAAAAATCTCTACATACTCTAAATAATAGGCTTTATTTAGACAGATAAAGTAAAGGAAAGAATTTTTGTTACTCAAGTTATAGTCATAGCAATTTATGTCAAGAAATTTAGCTGAATAATATTATTATTTAACAGTTTTCTTTTTTGTTTTGGTTGAAAACATTTTGAGGAAAAACAAACGTAAGTATGAAAACAAATAAAAACACAACTTTTAATATATTTCTTCAGAGAGAGTCAACACTTGTAAATTAACATGCTCCCTCCCCATCCCGAGTGCTGACATCCTCTGTTAATTTTTACTCAATGTTTTTGGCTCAGTTACAGTGCCTCTTAATTCAGGGCTCAGTTCTGACCACCAAATATGAGAGGACACAATGAAGAAGCTGGTGGATATTCAAGTGGTGCAAAGACTAAGAAATGCTTAAATGAATGCGAATTATGAAATGTTTAAATTAGTTCTTATAATACCTGCCTTTCATTAGAAGTGCTTAGTTTGCTAACATTTAATGAAAATATTTACATGGTTGAATTTAGGTCTGCTTTTTTTTTTTCTGACTGCTCTTTTTATTTTATGTTCCTCTCTGTCCCACTTCTGGCTTTTTAAAATTATTTGGACACTTATAAAATTATTATTTTTATTTATGTAGTTTTTTTTTGAGACGAGCCTCCCTTTCTCACCCAGATTGGAGTGCAGTGGCGCGAGCTCAGCTCACTGCAACCTTCTGCTCCCAGGTTCAAGCAATTCGCCTGCCTCAGCCTCCGGAGTAGCTGGGACTATAAGAGCATGCCATCATGCTCGGCTACTTTTTGGATTTTTTTTAGTAGAGACGGGGTTTCACCTTGTTAGCCAGAATGGTCTGGATCTCCTGAGCTTGTAATCCACCCGCCTCGGCCTCCCAAAGTGCTGGGATTACAGGCGTGAGGCACCGCGCCCAGCCCTAAAATTTAACTTTTGAACTTTTCTATTGACCTTTCAGCTCAGCCTCTTTGCATTATATCTTTTAGGGATTTACTTAGGGATTAATATTTATTGTGTACCTTTTTATGTAGTATGTTTACTGATAACCTTCAATGATGTAAATTCATTTATCCACCATATCAACCTTTATACTATAGGTGTCATATGTATTGCTACCACATATATCTTACTCCCACAAAAAAAGTGTTAAAATGTTTACTTTAAACAGTCATGTAAATTTTAAATAAATATTAAAAATATTATTGTATATTTAAAACTATATTTACTATTTCTGATGCTCTTCATTTTCTTATTTTGGTGGACAGATTTTCCCTTCTGTATATTTCCCTTCAGCTTGAAAAGCTTCCCTTAGCATTTCTTGTATCGCATGTCTAGTGACAGCAAATTTTCTTATTTTTTTCTTTCTCTGAAAATGTTTTTATTTTAAATTCACTTTTGAAGGAGATTTAAAGGAATACAGAATTACCCATTGAAAGTCTTTATTTTTATTTTTTTCTTCTGTCTCTTAAAGCTGTTGTCCCTCTGTCTGTGGTCACCATAGTTTCTACATTTGTGGTAATTAAAATTACTGGCTATTTTCAAGATTTGTCTTATTATTTTTGGTTTTTAGAAGTTTAAATATGATGTGCCTAGGATGATTCTCTTTGAATTCCTCTCATTTGGGAATTTTCTTGTATCTATAACTTTATGTCTTTTGCCAGAGTTGGAAAACGTTGGCCACAATTTTATTTTTCTCTTCTTCCTTTGTGACTCAAATCATGTAAATATTAGAACTTGGTGAAATTCTCTTAAAAGTGTGTATGCCACTTTTTGCATGTTAACATGGTTTCAGTGCCCTAGGATACCAGACTAGCAGTGAAATGCATGGATATATTGTAAGTTCTGCCTACATTTTTGAAGGACTGACAGAAAGTTTTTCACAGCAGCTGCGGCATTTGCATTGTACATTTCCACTAGCAGTGGTATAAAGGTTGCGGTTTCTCCACATCTTTGCCTACAGTAGATTTTTTATATTTTTTGTTGGTTGCTTGGTTGGTTAGATTTGGTTTGGTTATAGTCATGTTGGTAGGTGTAAAGTGGTATTTTTATTGCAGTTTTGTTTGCATTTTTGTAAGGACCAATGATGTTGAATATCTTTTCCTGTGTCTACTGGTCATATGTGTGTTTTCTTTGCAGAAATATCTGTTAAATTATTTTCTTTTTAATGATTTTATTATTTTAGTACACATGATGTAAAAATATATTTTAGATACTAAAAACTTATTAGATACACGATTTACAAATATTTCCTCTCATTCTATAAGTTGGCCATTTTTACTTTTTTGATAGGGTCCTCTGAGTAACACAAGTTTTTGTTTTGTTTTCTAATTGCGATGACATCCAATTTATTTAATTCTTTTTATCTTTGTTCTTTTGGTGACATATTTAAGAAGCCATTACCTAATCCAAGATCACAAAATTTTACACCTACGTTTTCTTCTAAGATTTTTATGTATTACATTTAAATCTTTCATCCATTTGAGCTAACGTTTGTATATAGTATGTGGTAGTGGTCCACTTTTTTATTTTCCATGCAGATGTCCAGTTGTCCCAGCACCATTTGTTGAAAAGACTATTCTTCCCTTATTGAATAATCATACCTCCCTGATGTGTTTACTTCTGAACTTTCAATTATAATCCATTGATTTATATGCTTATCCTTATGCCAGTGCCACACTGCTTTAATTACTGCAGCTTTGTATTAGGTTTGGAAATCAGACATCTGAGTCCTACAATTTTGTTTTTATTTTAGAAACTGTTTTGGCTATTCAGTCCCTTGTATTTTTATATGCATTTCAAGAGCAGCTTGTAGGCCAAAAAGGCTGTTGCAATTTTGATTAGGGATAGCATTGAATCTGTAGGTCAGTTTAGTGGCTTGCTATCTTAACAACATTATATCTTCCAATCAATGAATAAGAGATGACTTTTCATTTGTTGGTCTTATTTAATTTCTCACAATGTTTTATATCTTACACTTCCTTCGTTAACTATATACTTACACACTTGCTTATGTTATTATAAATGAAATTGTTCTTTTATAGATTGTTCATGATCATTGTACAGAAATTAAACTGATTGTCATATTGAGCTTGTATCTGCTACTTTGCTGAACTTCTTTATTAAGGCTTATAGAATCCTGTGTATGTGTATTATTAAGGTTTTCTATCAATAAAGTCATAAATGAAATGTGAATTGAGATAATTTTACTTCTTTGATTCCAGTAGGAATATATTTTATGTATTTTTCTTGTCCAATTTATGTGGCTAGAACTTCTAGTATAATGTGGAATAGAATTGGCAAGTGTGGACACTCTTGTCTTATTCCTGATCTAGTGGGGAAAGCTTTTTTCAATATTATATATAATGTTAGCTGTGGGATTTTGGAGACACTTTAACAAGATAAAGAAAGTTTTCTTCCGTTTCTACTTTGATGAATGTTTTCTCATGTTAAAGTGTATATTTTGTCTATTTTTAAAAATCAATTGAGATAATTATTTTTCTTTATTTTACTAATATCAGATATTACCTTGATTGATTTCATATTTTGTGCCTATGTTGCATTATTGTGGTGAATTCTATTTGATCATAGTGTATAATGTTTTAATATGCTGCTGGATTTTGTTTGCTAGTGTTTTGTTGAAGATAGTTGTATCTATATTTATATGGTATGCTGGTCTGTAGTATTTATTTCTTGTGATGTCTTTGTCTGGCTTTGATGACAGGGTAATACTGGCCTCATAAAATAATTTGGAAAGTATTTTCTCATCTTTATTTTATAGAGTAATATGAGAAGTAATGATGTTAATTTCCTTTAAAGCCTTGATTAAAACAGAGAAGGCATTTCTCCTTGGGCTTTTCTTTGTTGAAGCACTCAATCCTCCATACCAATAGCAGATTCTTTTACTGTTATTTAAATAGTAATTTTTAAAATAGGCAGATGCTACTTATAGTAGCCCTATAGTTATTTAACATGGGGGAACTATGTATTTGGATATATACAAACACACACACAGAGTGAGAAATATAAACTATTTTCTATAAATATTCACACATGGGTAGGCAACTAGATAGTAGTATGCTGTATAACAAGTTACAATTTGAAAACATGAAGAATTTTTTTTTGGCATATTTTTCTTTCTTTCTTTTTTTTTTTTTAGACGGAGTTTTGCTCTTGTTGCCCAGGCTATAGTGCAATGGCACGACCTTGACTCACTGCAACCTCCCCTTGCAGGGTTCAAGTGATCCCCCGCCTCAGCTTCCCGAGTAGCTGGGATTACAGACATGCACCACTATGCCTAGCTAATTTTGTATTTTTATTAGAGACAGGGTTTCTCCATGTTGGTCAGGCTGGTCTCGAACTCCCAACCTCAGGTTATCTGCCCGCCTCAGCCTCACAAAGTGCTGGGATTACAGGTGTGAGCTACCACGCCTGGCTGAGCATAGACTTTTTAATGAAGGAACTAAATTATTTAAAGTGTGTAAGACCTTCTGAATACACTTTACACAAAAAATACTTATGAATAAGTGTCTCTAGAGGATGAAAAGAGAAAAATTAACTCATTTGTTGAAGAACCTGAAATTCTATGTATAAAAAAATGGGGAATTGTGTATCTGTACATATAAATATATGTATACATGTATACACATATCTACACACATATATCTCCAACAAAATCTAGTAATATATTTTAATATATTCATTAAATAATAATTATGGCAGAAAAATTTTATACATGAATTACACTTTTAAAAAAATTTTGAGCATTCTAAATATAAACCTCTCCAGATATCTGTAGAAAATAGATTTAAGAGAACAGCTGTTTTACTATTTAGTCACAATATCTGAATTAAATATGAACTGTCAGTTCTTTAATTGAAAGCATTTTTGTTTTTCATTTTCAGCTTTTACTATCATATTAAATCTAAATTAAACACTTATTGGAGACACTCAATTTTAAATCTTACCCTTTTATTTACTTTAATTGACAGTTAGATGCCAAATAGATTTGGTATTCTAATTATATACTTCTTAAGATTTCTGCACAGAAGTCTAAAGCACTTGTTCTTTTATTGTTTTGCTTTGTTATCTTCAGCTTTCTCAATTTCTCACTTCTATTTATTTTGTCACTTAATTTCTTATTTATTCACAGTTCTATTATGACAGCTGGATAATTTTTCTAATGACTTTGCTTAAATTGTTCCCTAATATTATTACTAATAGCAACAATAAATGAACTTATAATTTGAAAATTAGATCTGGAAAAAAATATTCATTTTCATACCTATTTATAGAAAAAATTTTTGCTACAGAATACTTATTTTTATTCATGTTTATAGACTCCTCCAAGCATAACTTATTTAAAATAAGACATATATAACAATAATTTTCTGTATTTATAACTATCAAAATAACTTTTTCAAAACATTACAGATAGTTGAAAATAATATTAAACTGTAGCAAATATTTTTATTGTTAGATTTGATTATGGACTTTTACAAAATTATATTTTCTTTATACAATCTGATTATTTTTGAAGTAATCTATGCACATATAGAAAATACTACATCTTTATATATGAAACCATGACTGAGACCATTACTTTAAGCTAAGAAAGTTTACAGTTGAATAATTTATTACCTAATTTATTGGTTTATTTGTAAATATAACTTTTGAAATGCATATATATGTATGTATGTATTTAAAAAGATGTAAACATAGATTTTAATATAGGCAAAGTGACTAATAGATTTTCTATGTTAAATATTATGCATTTTAGAGTTTTCATTTTTAAAATAATAAGCTTAATAAAATTAAAATTGCACTATTAATAACAATTAATTAAGATAGGCACATGAGCAGCATGCTCATGAAATGGTAGAACCCATGGGTGACCACTGGCATTAGCTCAAGCTGAAGAAGTTTAAGATTTAAAGATTTTCATTTACATAAACTCCCTACAAGACCCTAGGAGAGGTATTAAGAATGGTTTCATAAAATGAATTGTGCCCTACCTTCACCTCCCATAAATTCACTGAAGCCCTAACCATCAATGTGACTGTATTTGGAGACAGAACCTATGGGAAAGTAACTAAGGTTAAATGAGGTCATAAGGTTGGACACTGATCTAATAATGTTGTTATAAGAAGAGACAGCAGAGAGCTCTCTCTCCTCATGCACCCGCGCTGAGGAAAGGGCAACATGAGGACATAGTGAGATTGCGGCCATCTGCAAACCAGGAAAGAGGCCTTCACTGGAAACAGAATTGGTTAGCACCTCTGTCAGTGGAATTCCAGCTTCCAGAACTTTGAGAAAATTAATTTCTGTGAAGTCACCCAGTCTGTGATATTTTGTTATGGAATACTGAGCTGACTATTATATCGGGTCCTATGTTTTTGTAACAGTTTCTATGTTTTAAAATATTTTATTTGCATTTGCTTAAACCAAGTTTGTTACCCCTCTTATTTGTTCTCCATCCCACCTTTCCTACTGTCGATGGTGCTACAGTGCTTCCAGATAATTTTAGGATCTGGTTCAGAAGAAGTATCTGGATTTTGTGGAATAAATATTTTTCTGTATCACAGACACTTCCACAGAAAATCAAATTTTTACTCTCTGTTTAATCTGGGAGTGCTTTCAGAAGTAATTATATTGCCCACAATCCCTAGTCCATCGCTATTGTGCATGAGAAGTAGGGCTAGGAGAAATATCACAACATCAACGTGATACAACAAACTGCCTAGCATCAGTTATGAGGAGTCGATTAAATAGAAGAAACAAGATTCCACATGTTTGGAGCCAGAAGATAGTCTGTGAAAAATTATACTAATCATCAGGAATATAAAACAATATGCAAAAGATTGGTTCTTATTGATGTCTAATCAAAAAGGAAGAAACGTTCAGTCAGGCATATACACTATAATGCATCATATGCCAGATAAGAAAAAAAAATAGATATTTTTCTTTGTGGGGGCATTGTATAAAGTAGAATTTGTCAGAAGCCTCGTATTTATAGGGCACAAGTTGGTATCATTAAAACAAATATTGAGTACGTCTGAGTGTGAGATCACACGTTTTATATATTACAACTTATTATTGTGTTGTGTCAGCTCATTGGCCAAAGATTTGTTTCTTGTTTGTTTGACACAAAATACTGACATTGACAAAGATAATAGACAATTCATAATACAAATAACACTATCAGAGCATCAGTGACAAACTGGCTAATTAGTAGCATCAATTCAGCCAGTATATAAGAAGTCACCCCAAATGGAAATTTGCAGTGACTTGTTGTTTTGTAGTCTAAGTGGAAGAAATCTGGTAATAGTTTTCCCAAATTTAACAATAAGCCTGAATATTTGATAATGATTTCAGTATTAACCTGTGAACCTGAATTGAACACTTTCTAAACTTGCTTCTCTTTGATAACAATAATAGTAATAAATGTAACAAATTTTAACAAGCATGCTAGAGGAAAGAGAAAACTAGTTTTCTGTAATTTATATAGAAAATTATATTATGAAATCATTGTCCTTTGAAGTAGTCATGAAATATGCCACCAATATTTTAGAAAAAATATATTCTACTCTTGTGTTGAGCTGTTTATTAATAAAAATGTTTTGTTATTTTTCCGAACTATATGAATTTTGTGGTATTTGTAATTGGTGGTGATTTACTTTCTCATGCTAAACTTTTATTCTTATGTAAGCTAGTAACATTAATTTTGAATTCTTTTTCTAAGAAGACTCCACAAATTGCATATGCTTCAGAAACCACAAACTCTAGATCCTCCCTTGCCTGTATCTCTACAAAATATCTATACCAATAATTATCATATGTTAAGAACCATAGAGAATATTATTTCTTCAATTTTACAATTGAGTGGACTGAGTGGTTACCACATTTACACAAATAAGAATTGAATCGAATAATTGAATTGTCAATTGAATAGAGCTCATATCTGTCTAACTCAAAAGTTTGAGCTGTATTTCTGTTAAATCCTGCTATATCTGATATACATGAATAGTTGGATTTTTTTCTATTGTTTGAGTCTCCGTTTTCAACTGTGTCCTTTTCTCAATTTGTGTTTCTTCTTACTCTCATTGTCCTGCCCAACCTCCATCCCAGAGCTTGCCTTTTCTATTTATTTAATATATTATTATTTCTGTTTATTTAATATCTGGTTTTGTCTCACTTACCTCAGTCTGAGCCATTTCATCTCCCTGATCATTAAATCTTGAATATACATTCTCTAAGTATGGAAAAAGGTGATTACATTTATACACACATTTAAAAGAAAAAAAGTAGCTCTATTGAGATATAATTGATAACCAAAACTGTACTTATTTAATTAAGTGTACAAATTGATGAGTTTGGACATATGCAAACAGCTGTGATGACATCACCACAATCAAGGAAGTAGACATATCCGACACCTCCCAAAGTATTCTTGTTTCTTTTTGTTTCCTTATGTCTTTTTGTTTTGTTTCCTTATGTCTTTTTGTTTTGTTTCTATGGTAAGAACACGACATGAAATCTACGCTCTTAGCAAATTTTGAAATACACAGTACCACCTTGGTTAACTGTAGGCACTATTTTTTACAACAGATATTGGGATCGTACTCAGTTGTATAATTGTAACTTTATACCGGTTGAATAACATCTCACCATTTCTCCCACCACCCAGCCCCTGAAAACCAACATTCTATTTCTGGCTTCTATAATTTTAACTATTTTATATATTTTCTATAAGTGGAATCATTCAGCATTTTTCTTCTGTGACTGACTGAATTCACTTAGCATAATATCATCCAGGTCCCACTATGTTGCTACAAATGGAAGGATAGATTTCCTTTTTCTTTAAGGATGAATTATGTTCCATGATGTGTAGATACCACAGTTTCTTTATCTATTTTTATTCATTGGCCCATGGACACTTGGACAGTTTTCATGTCTTGGCTATTGTGAATAATGGTGCATTGCAGTAAACATAGGCATGAAGATATCCCTTTGAGATCCTGATTCCTATTCCCTTGCATATTTACCCAGGAGAAAGATGGCAGGATCATACCGTCGTTTCATTTTTAACTTTTCTGGGAACATCCATACTATGTTCCATAGCTGCCAAACCATTTTACATTCCCACCAACAGCATACAAGGATTCCAGTTTCTTCACATTCTCACCAATTATTATATTTTCTATTTCATAATAACCTTCCTAGCATATGTGAGGTGATATTTCATTGTACTGTAGTTTTCAACTACTTTTGCCCGATAATTAATGATGTTGAGCATTTTTTTCATATATCTCTTGGCCATTGGTATGTCTTCTTTTAAGAAATACCCATTTATGTCGTTTTCCCATCTTTAATCAGGTTGTTTCTTTGTTTTCCTTACTTGTAGAGGTTCTTTATATAGTTTGAAAACTAACTTCCTTATCAGATACTTGGCTTGCTATTTTCCTTTTGTTGCCTGAGCTTTTGGTGTCATATCCAAGAAACAGTTGCCAAGACCAATGTCATAAAGCTCTTCCTCCATATTTCTTTGTGGGAGTTTTACAGTTGCAGGTCTTAAGTTTAAGTCTTTATTCCATTTGGTGTTGAATTTTGTGTATGGGGTGAGATAAGGGTCTGGACTTACTCTTTTGCATGTAGATATCCAGTTTGCCAAACATCATTTAATGAAGAGAGTGTCATTTCCCCATTGTGTGTTCCTGGCACCTTTGTCTAAGAGCAATTGACATTACGTGCATGAATTTATTTCTGGACTTCCATTTTGTCCCATTGGTTTTTATGTCTGTCTTTGTGTGTCTCTGTGTGTGTGTGTGTGTGTGTGTGTGTGTGTGTGTGTGTGTGTCAGTGCCATACTGTTTCATTACTGTAGCTTTGTAATATATTTTGAGATCAGGATGTGATATGCTTCCATCTTTGTTCTTTTTTCTCAAGATTATTAAATGGAAATAGTTATTATCCCAATATTTTCATATAAGGAACAGTTTATGAAGGGATAAATCTTGGCAAATTCAATTACATTGAAAAATTCTATATAGCCATTAAGGATCACAGCAAACTTTGGAAAGTAAGTTTGTCTGACTCCAATTACCAGACCTTTAACCAGAATGATATGCTACTTTCCAGTTACTTTTAGATTTTGTTTACAAAACAAAACTGGGTTTGAAGGAGACAAGTAAATATGAGCTCATGTGCTCATCCAATGATGCTGCCCAATGTAAATATGAATATTTCATGATGTAAGTCCACTCTTTCTGATTATAATTTAAGGAAGGTAAAAATCAAAGTTCAGAAACAGTATAATTCACACAAACGTAACATGGAAAAAAAAGTAATCCTACTGGAAATTGTGATACATTACAGACAATAATATATAATTACAATCAGAGGAATAATATGAGCTTACTCAAATTCAGTGAAAAGGAATTTAAGCTTGATCTTTTCCTCATCTTTCTCCTCATGACATTTTTAACTTTCTGGAACCATCTTATATGTAAATGAGTTTCTATTATGATAGCTTTCATATGCATTGATGTTTCTATTTGTGCAGTGAAACATTGAACTCAAAATAGAAATAACATGTATCTCCCTGTAATTATGAATGAAGGCACGCAGATATATATTTTAAGTACAAGGCTTTTATTCCACTAGATTAGAACTTTCAAGAACATGTGTAATGAAGGATAATTGTCCTTATTTATTTGCATTGCTGAACATGCTTAGTTGGGAGCCTGAATGCCAAGAAGAACTAATGACATTTTGAAAGTATTATTGTGTGTTGTGTTAGGTGTAAGGCATATTCTTATTTTGTTTTCAGAAAAATTTTAAATTAACAACAAAATTGTTCTATTTTTATTTTGGAAATTCTATCAAAACTACAGTTTTATTGAGTAGATTTGCCTAAAATTAGCCAATCTTATCAGATATATTTGCCTAGAATATGTGGTGTATACTTTTGGCTGATAAGATATAGTTGTCAAAAGTATATACCACATATTTGCCAGATATATTTGCATAAAATATGTGGAATATGTGGTATATATTTTGGTATGGATCTGCACATGTGTGTGTGTGCGTGCATGTTTGTATTGATTGACATATTTCTCATTCTCCACCAGAATACATATCTTTCTGGAAAGTATTGATTTTCTATGTTTTATTGACCAGCCATACATTAATATGTAGAAAACTATGTATACATTTTATCAATTAAATAAACTATAGAAAAATTAAAGCTTTGTTATCTTGGGCTCTGCTTCTCTCTAGTTTTTCCAGTTTTATTCATTTCTATGTATTTACTAAGGAATGCAAATTATTTTAATTTTTAAATATTATTTAAAAGTACATTTGATATACATATAAAAACTTAATTGGTTTCCTAATTTAAGTAATATTAAAGATGACTTTCTAGAACATTTGAATGTGAGTTAAAAAAGGAGAAATCATTAACTTTGTAATATTTCTGACATCAAGTTTTCTATATACTTTCTTTGCTAAGATGAGTATTCTGCCATGGGAAAAATCATTTTTCTCTTCTTTGGCTGAACTGTCCATCTTTGTTACCTAATTGGTTTGCTTGCCAGAATTAACTGACAAGGTTGTCTCTGGAAACATTATGTAAATTCTATCTGGCAGCTCTTTGTAAGCTAAATTGATAGCTATATAATATTGTTTAAGTGTTCAGTTCCCCAAATGGAAATATGCCATAATTTATTTCGAGTTCAGAATCATAGCATATTGCACCAAATCACAGCAATATTGCACCAAAAAGTTTTGCATAGAAAAGATCCTGCATAAAACTATTTATTTGCTTGTAATAGCAGAATTATTTTCTGTTTTTGTTTTCGACTATTTTTGACATGGGATCTCACTCTATTCCCCAGGCTGCAGCGCAGTAGCATGATCACAGCTCACTGCAGCCTTGAACGCCCAGGCTCAAGCAGTCCTTCCATCTCAGCCTCTTGAGGAGCTAGGAATACATATGTGTGCTACTGCATCTGGGTAGTTATTTATTTTTTTGTCTGTTTATTTATTTATTTATTTTGAGACGGTGTCTTGCTCTGTTGCCCAGGTTGCAGTGCAGTGGCATGATCATAGCTCACTTAGCCTCAAACTCCCAGGTTCAAACAGTTCTCCCACTTCAATCTCCCGAGTAGCTGGAACCACAGGCATGTACCACGAAGTACTCATCCTGAGTTCAAGCAATTGCCTTGCCTTGGCCTCCCAGAGTGCTGAGATTATAGCTGTGAGCCACTGCACCTGGCTCTGGTTAATTTAAAAACTTTTTTTTTTTTTTTGGAGAGACAAGGTGTCACTATGCTGCCCAGGCTGGTCATGAACTCTTGGGCTCAAACGATCCTCCTGCCTCAACTTCTGAAAATGCTGGAATTATAGATGTAAGCCAATACGTTAGGCCTAAAAACAGTTATTTTTAATGGTGTTCTGAAAGCAATTTGGACTGTAATGTTGTATTTCGTATCATGTCATATGCACATTTATTTTGTATTGTCCTGGAAAAGTTTCAGTGTTTATACAAACTAAGAAAATCTTGATTTTCCGAATCTGTGAAAGCCACATTACTCCCATTAGGCATGTCTGCTGGAATAGAGCCAGCAGAAGCAATGTGCCTTTTCAATGAACAATCTTTCTATGCATAATTGCTGTGATCTCATTTAAAATCCAAGGTTTCCTAGTGGTTTGGATAAATTTGAAATCTGTGCCTTATTGTTTTCTAGCTCATTCTGATTTGGAGATGATAATTTATACCTGAATTATAAGGTTAAATAAATCAAGAGATTTAGTTATATATATTATAATTATATATTATATGATATATTATAAATATATGATATATATTTATATAGATATATGATATATAATAAATATATATATATAAGTTGAATATATAACATTTCCTTTTACAAGTAAACATGCAAAGAATCTTCTAAATGAATCTTAAATTATGGTGCTTCCATAGTATGGGATGAGCAATAAAATTCTTTTAATTTGATGCAATTTTATTTATATAGTTTTTCACATGTAAGATATGAGGGTGAGAGATAATAAGTATTATATAATATATATTTATATATACTTATATATATATTATATATGACATATTATATATTATATATGACATATATTATATATTATATATGACATATATATTTTTATTATATATATATGTATTCCTCTGAAATTATGATTCTTCTCCTTTCCATGTATTCATTTTGAAGGACCTTTGGAATGATTAGCAAAAACTGGAACAGGGAGTTGAATTCCTTTTTAAGTTTGTATTTTATTTTTCTGTCATACATTGTTTAATCAATGCTTTTCCTTTTGCTTTCAATTACTCTATATATGAAAATTATCTGTTTTTTTGAATTCAAATGAAATATCACTTTCTTGATTTAAACATTAATGAGAATAATAAACAAAATAATAGCAAACATATTATATGTACCACCTTCACTTTCACCAAGGGTTTCATATGCAAAATTTCATTAAATCCCAATCTCAACTATATGAACTAATTGTCATGTTACATCTCATCAGTACAGGTGTGGATAATGATATTTAGTGAATCTAAATAACTTGTCCATAGTTATACAGCTCAGGCACTTGACTCTACATGCATAGTATTAGCCATCCCTCCCTCCTTATCATGTTATGCTCTAGTTATTTTGTGAGTATATTGTCCAGCTGTAATCTTTAAATTCTGTAGTGGGTGCATGATGAATATTAGGCAAATGAATAATCAAAAGGTTTTCAATATGAGGAATTTAGTATGTTCTCATATTTAACACGGGCTCTCTGTATTCAGTAAATGTTCTTGAAAATAGGGGCCATTTTTGGGTAGAATGTCTGTCACTCAGGGTATCACATGTCCCTCGGGGCTCATATTCACATCTAGAAGAAATAATTCTTCAACAGAAACACAAACAAATACTAAAAGGACTTTCAACAACATTTTTAGCAGTTCCATGAGCAGATTTGTCAGTGCTTACATCACAGTGATTTCAACTGAAATGAAAAAAGGTATTCAAAGCTTTACTTCACTATCAGTAACCTAAAAGAAACTTCATAGTTACAGGTGCTCTGCAGATAGACATCCCCTCTGGGCTACAAATGCAGGATATTCAAATTGCCAACTTCAAGAGATAGCTCAGAGGACATCACATTAAAAATAATGTTCTGGAAACTGACAATTATATGGAGAGAAATTTGAGGAAGCTGAGAATTTTGCATGAGAGTTGATGAAACACTATTTTAAAATAATTATTGCAATCCATTTCCCCCCTTACTTGAGAAAACACAAGCTGTAGAATGAGTGAACAATTTTATTGATAGAAGTACAATATCTACCACATAGATATTAGAAGGATTAAAATGTTAAGTTATCTACTTTGGACTATTGTAAAACAGCAATATAATCTGAGAATTGAAAAAAAAATAAAATAATGACAAATACTTTTAATCCAAGAATTCTTTCAACATTAATTTTAATTAAAAACAAGTATAAAATATGTGTTCACATCTTGTATTGTTTATTTATATAACAAAATTAATAGACTTGCTATATTTTATGTAATTTTTTGAGAAATCTCTGGTTATTTGGTCAATTGACAACTGAAGTCTCTAGGGTTTTCTGGGGTGAAATGATTAGGTTTCTTTATTATTCACATGAAAGTCTATATTTTAGGCTTAATGGGACTGCTTTGGCCTCAAGAAAAATTGTTATTTCTGAAAGTAGAATATCTAGGGAAAATAAAAAGATCTCTAGGAATATTTTTGTTTTAAGTTTAAATAAGCTAATATAAAATGCTCATCAGCTGTATAAATTACTTTATTTAAGTTGAATATATAACATTTCCCTTTACAAGTAAACATCCAAAGAATCTTCTAAATGAATTTTAAATTACGGTGTTTCCATAGCATCGGATGAGCAATAAAATTCTCTTAATTTGATGCATTTTTAATTTATATAGTTTCTCAAATCTAAGATCTGAGGGTGAGCGATAATAAATTACTGAGACTGTAAATCACAGACCCAATAAATGGCAGATCCTGAAATTTAACCTGTTTTCTAATGCTACCATCCATCTTATTTCTTGGATGGTTCTCTTTTTTTCTAACCTGCTCCTGCTATTACCTATTAACCAAATATAGAGGAAATCACTTAAAATTGTGGTTTCTGCACCTATAGAAATGGAAAACTTGTGACTTATGACATTTAAAATCCCTTCAGACTCTGGAAGAATATTAAAATGACTTAGATTTTAAAAATATCTCTGTTTTATTCCATGTGTTAGCAAAAACATATTAAAATCAAGGTCATACCAAAAGAGTGATAACGGTCGCTTACGTTCATTTATGGCCTAAAATTCTAGCAAGATCAATGAACTGGAAGTGAGTAGACTTAGAGACACAAAATAAGATATCCAGAGCTCAGGAGCACAATGATCCTACTAGAATTGGAGATAAATGATTAACCAAAAATATTAATTTATCTACTTTCCTGAAAAGCATCTTTCTCAATGAGGGTTTGCTTACTGGACTTTGCACACTTTGAATTATTTTTTTTTAACTATCTATGACTTCAGCATTTAGCTAGAGGTAATATTTACAGACTAGTTTTCATTTTCAAAATGCTCTCACATATTTCACCTAATGCCATTCTATTATAATACTCTGAATTACATTTCATAAGGTTTAACTTCATTTTGCAGGTGCTGACTTTGATATGTTAAGAGAAAATGTATGTGAAATATTTACATATTCACTGGTATTTAATGAACAAGGTTTAGGTAAAATGTATGTCTTGCAGCTACTGGCAAGCTCCTCTCAAATCAAACATTGCAATATGATTCTTTTGTTGAGATATAACACAATGTTTGAGGATTATGACTACTTATAATGTATTTTTAAAATTCAAATGAGATTATGAAGTTAGCCTTGTACACACAATTGAGAATCTTTTTGTAAATGCAAGTAAATTTAATTACCTTTGTAATATGTGCATGTTTCAAAGTAACTATCTTTAAGTCATATATTTTATCACTTGTTATACTAATACATTTAAGGTACTATTATGGGTATAGAATGTATTTACTTAGTCATATAGAATGCAATAACTGTGTAGTACAAAAGTCACTGCCCAGTACTCAAATAAACTAAATTTAAAACCAAAAAAAAAAAACAAATTAAACCCTCAACTGATTAATATATGTTTAAGAGATGATTAACAAACTCAGAGAGAAACTTGAATTTGGGATATAACTGGCTCCATATAATATATATTAGCATATATTAGCATCTTTGACATTTAGTCTAATGAATAATTCTCTAGGAGAATTATTCATTCATGATTTTCAGTGGAAGGATCATTCACCATTATTTCACTCCCAGTACAGTCATGTTTTCTCTACTTTTCATTTATAATATTTTCGTGGAGTATACAGATAAAGCTTTTTCCTCTTTCATTCTATCAGCCAGAATGCTATCAAATGGAATGAGTAAGTAACTGGGTAGAGATGCCTGGGGCTTTTCATTTAAGGTCACTGAGAGGGCTGAGTGTTGTTATGTTGCTGTGTTGTGCTATGCAGGGATTTATTTATAATCTAGAGCATACACATCCACAAAGAGCTAAAATCCCTGCTGTGTTCCCAATAAACATTTAACATATTCTGCTCCATTTACAATAGGACTGTAATCAGGGCTGTAGATGCTAGATCACCAGCACTGCATAGTTAGGGGTATACAGAGATATTGACACTCGTAGGTGAAAAACATAATTAAAGATATTTGCAGAAGAGTAGATTCCTTGTCATTCTTAATGAAGTAATGACATATTGTGCATAAGCTCTGGAGAAAGGACACATTCCTGTGCTCAAATGTCAGCACTGCTACTGATTTTAACTATTTTAGCTTGGTATATCAATAAAACGAAGGGTCACTTTTATCACTTGCAAAAATAGTAATTCCAAAAAGCATTATTTCTAAAATCTACTCAAATTCTAAAATTCAGTGACTTTTCTTTTTTAGTTTAATATTGTAAAATGAATTACTTGTTTCTAATTATGTTTTCTTTGCAATGTATTTCAATAAATGTTGTAGAACAACATACAATGAAAGTGTGTGGCATTCTTTTATCTTCCTTAATCAAGGTTAAGATCAGAAATTACAATCAAACCTTTTAGCTTTAAATGATCATCTTAATTTCTTATCAAGCTATTTTTGGAAGCAGTGAGGCTTAAAATACTATCATTGTAGCCATTATTTGTAATCCAAATGTTGAAATTTCTAGTATTCACTTACATACACACCAGCACAAATTAATATGTAGATAACTGGGGTTATATTTTTAAAACCCTAGAAAGAAATGATTACATCACACATGGATTTTTGAGATACATGCCTGGAATTTGCATTTAGATGGCCTAGCCAAAGAAGGCACTAGACTGTGTCTCTCTTGATATCACAAATGTGTACAACATTCTTCAGATCAATAATGTAAGCATGTGTGGGTTTTGAATAAGTACATGCTTGGTAAATAATGGACTTTTAAAAATAGGTAATAGTCGATATATTTAGCACTGATTCATATTGTACATTTTGTTCATTTGATTTGATTTTTTGGTTTGTTTTTAAGATTTTAATAAATGATTTGACCCAATTTTCTTTCACTTCTCTAAGTATTAATTGTATTAGATGGCACTAGAATGAGCATAGGACTTGAGAACTATTCCCTAGTCTATTGCTCTACAAAGTTCCAAATCAATTAACCATAGAAGCAAGGACTACTAAATTTGAATTACTTCTTTCTTTCTCCTATTAACTTTCTGAATGACCTATAATTTTAGTTCAATTACACAAGTTGTATAAAACCCTTAAGATGAAATATAGAATATAAAAACTTTCCAATTTGTTAATTAAACAAATAACCTCATAATGTCAAAAATGAAAAAAAAAGTTTTTTATATGTTTTCTAAATAAGTAATTGTTTTCATCAATTACTTATTCACGTTTTGAAAATTTCTGAGACATTTCTTCCTCCACACAAATGAAGTTTGGATTGCCTGCAAATGCTTACAGAATGGTAATTTAACACAAGTTCATTTGAATTTGATTTTCCCTTCAAAATTCCTACAAAACATCATTTTAGCATTGTTTTACAAGTGAGAAATTTGTAATCACAATTCTCAAGGAGTTGCGGCGTCAAAAGTTATGAATTTAAAGGTGTATTAAGACCAATCAAGCAGGCAGGCATCGAAAAATAAACATTGGTGCATCTATGACACAAAATATAGCCTATGCTCTCCTTAATTCTTCACAGTTATCACTTCAGTGTATTTGAGCTGGACTTCCAAATGTCAGTGTTCATTGTTTTTGCCTGAGGGCTTTCTCTGGCTATTGGGGCTCAATTTTCAGCACACACAGAGCCAACCAGATGTGCTCACATTAAGGTATCCCAGGAGCGGCCCTCAGTCAATGACTGATGGAGGGCCAAGCACTGACATCCCAGCTCCCTTGTCCTGTGGGAGGAACAACTGAAGTGCTTGTTGTATATCTGCTCTCACAGTTCTCCTGAAAGATTAAGCTCCAATTACCCACTGCAGTAGCTTGTCTGCTAATGCGATAATGTTGGTTTTTTGTCCTTCCTTGTCTCACTTCCTTATTCCTCGTCAGTGTTTCTTGGATCACTACTGAAATAAACTACATCCATTCAAATATTCACCTCGGCATATGCTTCTAGAAGAACTGAGAACCAACATATCTTACTAAATGTGTTTAAGTTAAAATAAATAAAAACCTATAAAGGACAAGGTAAAATGCACACCTACTGTCATTTTGCTGCACTTCTTGTATCGTTACTAAAACATTTTAGTCACTACCTGCACACATGGTTCAGTTAGCAGCCTTTAACTCCATTTGGAACTGTTGTCACAGAAGAGGTTAAAGCACATTGGCCTAATTTCTACTCAAATTAAAATCACTTTTAGGCTCATATATCCTGGATTTCACTTTATTTTCATTCCTATGCCTAAATGCCCAGAAAAGAGGCAGTTAGTTAAACCGGCCTGAATTTTAGCTTATAAACACTACATACAAACATATTTCATCTACCTATTTATTTGTTTATTTTTTTAAGGTGCATTCTGGAGTGCAGTGGCGTGATCCTAGCTGGTGCAGCCTTATACTCCTGGGCTCAAGCGATCCTCCCGTCTCAGCCTCCCAAAGAGCTGGCACATACCACCATGCCTGGCTAATTTGTTTTATTTTTTATTTTTTGTAGACTTGGAGTCTTGCTTTGTTGCCTGAGCTGGTCTCGACCTCCTGGCCTCAAACAATCCTCCTTCGTCCGCCTCCCAAAACACTGGAATTACAGGTAGATGCCACCATACCCACCTAATTGTTTTTAAAAATTCTTTTCCAGAGAAGAGGTCTTTCTAGGTTGCCTCATCTATGTATTTTTGATAAAACAAGTAGATCTTGATTTTAAACATTTATTCCCAACAGGGGGATGGGGCATTTTATCTTCACTATCATTAGTCTTCTTTAGCCTTGAGGATAGAACTTGATTTCTTGGGTCCTAAGTGTCTGAATATCCCTTCAGTCGTTAGTTGAAGAGTTACAGATATTATCGCCTTTATTAAAGCCCTTGAGTTTTCTTCAGGTCTTCTGCCGTTCCACATGGGTTACCAAATTGTTTGGCAAAATCCAGCATTTGAGAACCCTCCCTTGTACCACATGAACACTTTGCAGTCCTGCCAGGCCTTCAGAGAGAAGCTGAAAATTAGGGAAGAATTCTAAATATCTCTGGGTGTTTCTGGAAAATTTCCTTTCAATCTGAGGACATCTTAAACTAACAGTCTTTCTCCTTTCTCTTCCTCTCCCTTCCCTTTCTCTTCCTTCCTTTTCTTTTCCTTCTGGATCCTCATGTTCCACCTGGCTTCCCTCTTCTCCCCTTGTCTGCCTCCATCACTGTATTCCCTCTTTTTTCAGCCCCATTCTCCTCTAACATTTTATAATTGGGGAACAAACAAACAAACAAAAACAGAATATAAATTATCTTAAGATACTTTTTTGCAATTTACTTGTCAAAAAAACTTTCCTAAATGTTAAGAAGCACAGAGCTGCATTCTCAGCCTATTGGGCAGTAGGTTGCCTACGGATAAAGAAGATATCAAAGAAGAAATATATTTTCATATGTAAAAACTCTTTTGCACTATAAAGTTAGGTGTGACTCAATCTACTTTGGGAATTTGTTTTTAAATTTAATACTGGGTAGCAGAACTATCCAAAGCAGAGTTCATATTATAGTACATTGCTATTTTGAAATTAATAATAAAAAGGATGACTATTTCTTTCCTATTTTTTCTTTTTTCTTTTCTTTTCTTTTGTTTTTTTTTTTTTTTTTTTTTTTTGAAACAGTTTCCTTATGTTGCCCAGGCTGGAGTGCAGTGGTGCAATCATAGCTCACTTCAGCCTTGAACTCCTGGGCTCAGCCTTCCAGAGGGCTGGGATTACAGGCATGAGTTACCACCTCCAGCTTATTATTTCTATTTAGCATTTATCTTGTAATTTGTATTGTATCTTTCAAATCGATATGGCAGTATGCGCTGTATATTGGAATAGTATCTGAAAAAAAAAATACTTAATTTTTTGTTACTACCAGAAGATACTAAAAAGCAAAGTCTCAAAAGCTTATTTTTTTTTTCTCCCACGATGTTTTTACCTCAGGTCTTAAGAAAAATGGACACTTGACCACAGATTGAGCCTCACTAAATATAGGCAGACATCTTTGATCTTTGAATTTCCTCTAAGTAGATCTTCAAATGTGTATCTTGTACTGCTACTAAGATATCTCAATTACTCTACAGTTGTAAGCAATCGCAACCAGACCCTAAATATCACCAGAGCACACTGATGCTCTTTTTTAATCAGTTTTTAATTAATTTTTGTTGATGTTTTGCTGAATGCATCCATATTTCAGAAAGATTATAAAAAAGTGCGTATCCTGAAGTGCCGCATATCTAAAAAAGGATGTTTTCCTTCATATTAGTTGTATACTCAGGCTAAACACACAGTTCTAGGTCCCAGATTTTCCATATCGAATTCCTTTTCTGAGGCTCATTTGATTTTCTTTTATCTTTCTCCCTCTCATTTGAATCCCTGGACTTTTTTTTTTTTGAATTGGAATTTTTTTCTTGAATAAAAGTATGTTGAGACACCAAGATGGGAAAGGGTCCCTGGAGAAACTCCAAGCAGCCTGCACACGGGGGCGGAGCCACAGAAGTTGACACCCTTTGCAGCTGGCAGGAGCCAGGCTCCTTCCCTTCCTGTGTGGAACCTGAGATTTGAATGGCGGGTGAGAAGTGCTCTAGCAGGGACTCTGGCTTTGTGAGAGTCCCTGTTTCCCCCTTTTCTTCTTTTTCACCCAATAAAACTCTGCCTTACCCTTCAAACCGTCTGCAAACCTAAATCTTTGTGGCCGTGGAATGGACAAGGACCCCATCTTTAGCTGACATAAGGAAAAGTCCTGCAACAATAGGATTTAGTTTGGCTTAACCTGAAAGCAGAACCTACGACAAGGATTTAATTACAGCTAGTTTATTTGGAAGATGACACCATGAAGGAAGAGTGAGGGAACAGAGTGTGAGACAGAGATGGGGGAAGGCAATACAGAGTATATTAGTGAGATTGCTCACATGGGTCACTGGGTACTCAATTTTACCAGAACCTTTGAAAGAAAATGCCTCTTATGATTGTTCATCTGAAGGACAAGAGGTTGGGATACTTGCCCACTCCAACCATTATCCATCAGGTGAGGACTTCTTCTAGGTGTTTAATTTTCTTGTACATTTAATATTTTCTTAGATGCTATACAGAGGCTCCTACAACTTTTAAGAAAATACTCAAGAGTAGCAATCAGGGGTGAGCGTTTGACAAGGAGCACAGAAAAAAAAAATGTTTGCCTAAGTATAAAATTGAAAGAAGTCACATGAAATCATTTTGGGGGTCTAATTGGCTTTCATCCCAATTGTTGCTGAGCTCAGGGAAATACCACTAACCCACACCCAGCTCCTGAAGGCAAGACTTATTTTTCACCTTAGATTCATCCCTTTATTTATTTTACCCATATTACCTATTCGTTACAAATACTTGACGGCCCACTCTCCAGGAAACCTCCTGAATGTGGTTACTTTTATCACCTGTACTCCTAAAGCGCTAGTCTGAGACAGGATTATTTCCTACCTGTGCTGCGTAAGAATCCTGTTCATGTCTTTCTTCCTCTACTCCAGCCTCTGACATCCATTTACCGTATAACTGCCACAGTGATATTGTTAAGGGGTACATTTTTAAAGGCATCTGTCTCCTGATTACATTTATCCAGTCTTTCCACTGTATTCTGAATAAGATCCTACCTAGTCTCTTCCCTGATCTGGTTCCCCCCAACCCCTCCAATCCCCTCGTCCTACACCAGCTAACCCTCACTGATTATGCTATAAACACTTGATCTCCCTAAATATGTCAAGCTCATTCTACCTTTGTTCTCACTGCCAATTTGGCTGGCAGGGAGGGCAGATATGATTCCCTGGAATCTTTCAAGTGTAGCCTTCTGGGTTCAGGTCTCACTTCAAATGCACCCCCTGCAGTCAGGCCTACCCTGATCATTAAGATCAAAGACCATTTTCAGCTTTATCTCTAAGATAGCCTTCCATTTTACATTGTCCCCTGCACTTAATACTTCTAATAAATGCTCATTTACTAATGTGTTTACATAAATTCACAGTGCTGTCTCTCATGGAACATAAGGGATATTCTGTTCTTCATGTTTTATTCTGTTGTTTATGTTTTATTCTTGTCTCTTGTAGGCAATTAATAATATGTTTTGACTATCTGAAATGTATGTATCAGGTAAATTCTATGATCAATCACTAGAATTATTCACTTACTTAAAAGTCTTAATTATTTCCTGTTTTTTTTCATTGTTTTTCAGGCTTACTTGTCTTAAAATTTAGCCCAATAACTCTTCCCCAAGTTAGTGCAAGAACTAGTGTGCTTCAAGATATATGGAGAAAAATACCTTTATCCTGACTGGTTTAAGTTTAAATTAATCAGCAGTACTCTTCTCTGGCCTTTAGCAATGCCTAGAAAAAATTTTATATTCCGTCACCTTTATCACTCTACTAGGTGAGAATTTGTGATCTTAGATTCCTTTTGCACTTCAAACAAGGAACCACATCCTATCTCTTATTGTTGATATCACTTCCTTTTTTCACTGAGAAAAGAGGAACAATCAAAAGAGTTTCCATCACCATTCCTACACGCTTTTCTTTTCTGTAACCATGTACTGTACCTTCTGTTCTGTTCCAAAGATGAACTACCTGAGCTCCTAGCTGAAACCAATCCCTGTACTGACTCAATGAATGTTGTCAGGAAAATATCATTAAAAACAGAATTTCCTGCCAACCCAGAAACACCCCCACAAAAGAATAGAAAGAAAAGTTTTATTACTGAATAAACCTAAATCAGAATGTGATGCACATCATAGGCAGCCTGCTAAAGAGAATACAAAGGCAGAAAGAACTCTTATGCTTTGTTAAGCCAAGCAGATACAACTCTTTACATACATGTGCTCAAGATATACTTGTTTTCAAGAGGACATGACAGCGACATTTGTTACACATTGTTCATCCTAAATTCACCTGGTACTTGTGGTGACTGTCTCAGCTAATTGGCTTTATTTAAAGGAAAAGTAAACAATACATTTATGATGGATAGTAGTTTTGCAACTTGGAGTGAGGTACCCACTAAAGTTAGGCTCCTACACGCCCAGAGAAACTGGAGATAGAGGCTCTATATTCCTTGATGGTTGCATTTCAAAGATATACCTCCCAGGTCCTTGAGAAAAACATCCCTGGGCCATAAAATCAGCAAGATGTTTATTTGGCATTTACAGTGATTTACATACATATCAAAGAAGCAGAAAAAGAATTTGTAATGACCAGCTCTCTAAAGAAACTGCTCTAAGAAAAAAGAAAGGGGAAGTAGTTTCTTTTCCTTCTTACAGAAAGGAAAATTATTATTATTTTTCTTCAGATTTGTATTTACTCTTACAATACTATCCCTTTTTTTCTTCTCTAGCATCAAATGTTCCCATTCTGGATTGTTTCCATAAACATATAAATGTGCCATAATTTCTGTCTCAACCAAAAAATAAAAAAATAAACAATGATGCACTATTGTCTTTCCATCCTTTTATGATTACAGTCCTTCGCTTTGCACAAGACTCTATAAAGATTTGTCTATTAAAACTGCTTCCAATTTCTCTTGGAAAATACAATCTCAGGACACCAAAACTCCTTATGCCAAAGGGAAAGTTAAGCTTGGAGACTGAATCACCCTATGCTGCCATCCTCTTCCCTGATGAATAACATGAATAACTTTTACTTTACAATCTGGTGTCAAAACATTATACAATGGTGGCTCATGCCTGTAATCCCAGCACTTTGGGAGGCCAAAGTGGTTAGATGGCTTCAGCCCAGGAGTTTGAGACCAGCCTGGGCAACATGGCAAAACCCCTTCTCTGCAAATAATACCAAAATTAGCTGGGTGTGGTGGCATGTGCCTGTGGTCCCAGCTACTCGGGAAGCTGAGGTGGGAGGATTGCTGGAGCTCAGGAGGCAGAAGCTGCAGTGAGCCATGGTCATGCCACTGCACTCTGCTAGATATCTTGTCTCCAAAAAACAAACAAACAAACAAAACCCATTATACATTAGACAGACCCCACAGTAAGGCAAAAACCTCAGACATTTTCTGATGACTACTCACCACAAAAACACTCATAAGTAAATTCTTTACCAGCCTCAAAACCTTCAAAATGTGTATCTTCCCACAAAACAAGGTCATGTAAATTGAAACTCTAGATCTGCAATAGATGTCTAACTTCTAAAACCAAAGTCTGTTGGCTTCCACACTGATAGACGTCCATTATTAGTTTATATTTCTAGTGCAAAACAAAGGTAAGATGAGATCAATTGTTCCTTCACCCCCTACCCAGAAATCTGCATAATTGTTTTCTTATTCTATTTCCTTTTTCTTCAAATGTTCACTTTATCTTATGTAAAATGTAGATTTACTGGGCACTAACTAAAATCTCACAAATATGTAATGATTTGTCTCACTGCATCCTCCCCTCTTTTTAGGAAAATGTATAAATACTAAACCTCCTGAGAACCTCTTTGGAAAAAACAGTGATGGTTGTGTCTGTGACTTGTGTGAAAGCTGGTTTGTTTAACCTCAACTGATTAAGCTGGCCTCATTCACTCATTTCATTTAACATTTTGAAATCTTTGAACCCACTCCACCTATTCCAGCCAACCACAAGACTTTTCCTGTCATGTTTTCTAATTATATCCATGTTGCTGAATCCTATTATTATTTGTCAATATTCATCTGTCTTTAATACCAAGAACATTTAGCACATTTAACTTTCATTGGAACACTTTCTTCACTTGGTTTTTAGTTCACCACACTCATCCTGTTTTCCTCCTATTTTAAACAATGTACCTCAGTATGCTTTGCTGTATTCTCTTCATCTATATATTCTAACCTCTTAATACTGGAGTGTGTTAGGGCTCAGTCCTTGGACTGAGTCTCTTTCTATCCATATTTACTCCTTCAGTGATGTCATACAGCTTCCTGCTTTTCCATATTAAATACATACATATACTAATATTTCACAAGTTTGCGTTTCTAGCCTAGATCTGTCCCAGGAACCACAGAATCTTGAATCTTAAGGAATAATAAACAAACATCAAAAACAATGCACCTAGAACTGAGCTTCTGATATTACCCACATGCCTTGTCTTTTCATAGTCTTTCTCATTTTGGTAAATGGTAGCAATGATATTTCAGTAGCTCAGGATCCAAATTTGAAGCTATTGCAAAACCTTTTCAACATTTCTTATTTTCCTTTTCCTGCTTTACTTTTCTCTTTTGTTTTTGTGGCCATACAACATGTTGCATATTTAATATATTTATCTTGATTACTTTCAAACTCCCTCAGTAGAAAGTAAACTTCATGAAAGAGTATGTTTTCCTCATCAGCATATTCCTAGGGTCTAAAGCTGTGCCTAGCACAATGAAGGCTCAATAAATGTCTGTTAAATAAGTGAATAAAAATTGAATAAGTATTTTCTGAATCAGTCAAATTTCTTTTAAATTTCCTGAATGCTGAAGTATAAAGGAGTAAAATAGATATAGAAATAGAAATATGTTTAATGATATGGTTTGGTTGTGTCCCTACCCAAATCTCATCTTGAATTGTAGTTCCCATAATCCCCATGTGTCATGGGAGTGACCTTGTGGGAGGTAATCATAAGAGCAGTTACCCTCATGCTGTTCTGGTGATAGTAAGCGGATTCTCACAATATCTGATGGTTTTATAAGGGGCTTCTCACACTTTACTTGGCAATTTTATCTCCTGCCACCATGTGAAGGAGGACACGTTTCCTTCCCCTTCCACTGTGACTGTAAGCTTCCTGAGGCCTCTGCTGCCATGTGGAACTGTGAGTCAATTAAACCTCTTTCCTTTATAAATTACCCAGTCTTATGTATTTCTTCATAGAAGAGTGAAAATGAACTAATACATTTAACTACTAAGACAGATAAATCTGAAATTGAGATATGTAATTGAGTTGGTTGGTTCTAAATATAAAATTGTGTGACATAACCAGTGAAATTCACTCTGAAGAAAGAGTGTCCATGTCTCTTGGAGTACCTTTAACTCTATTTAGTTGTACGGTAAAAATAATTGATCACAGCATTTTGACATATAAAATGCAATTTTGCCAATGAAAATACATCAGGCTTACTTAGAAACCCTTATGTCCTCTTAATAATGGGCCATTTGCATTCTTTTATATATATTCTTATCAGTGTTTTTTTCTTCTTTTTTAAAAGTTTTTCCTCTGTTAACCACTTTTCTGTTATAGCTTCAGGTTATCTTACTGACTCTGACAATTATTTTTCTGAATTCTTTCTTTTGTGGTAAAGAGAAATGAGATTTAACTGGAGTAACCTGTGTATGCTATACAGGAATTACATATCATTACTTTTAGAGGTTTGCTCTGAAACACTCTGGACTGATTTTACATTGTTTAGACATGATTTAGTGATAACACTTCAAGAATCTGTTTACATTCTCTTTTCCAAAAGAGCCACACTCTTCAATATTTAAGGAAATAAAATAATGTTTATGATTTAATGTGTTTTTCTCCAGCTTGCACATCAATCATTTGTTTTTGGTCTCTAAAGTAATATTTTCTTTATTGTGAATACCTAGTATTTTAAAATACGTTTTAAAATTGTTATCACTCTATAAAGCATAGTGGTTCATTTTGCAATGAAAACTTTTGGCTTATGTTATTGAATAACAATTATATGAAATTAAAATAATTTAATTAATTTAGTGGTAACAACAGTTATGCTTTCAATTATTTATATAGGCTGAATCAATTAGTTTGGTAGGTATTATTTAATTTAACTTTTACAAGAATACTTGTAATACTACAGTAATTTCATTTCCATTTTGCAAAATGAATGAACTAATTTGTGGTGATTAAATGTATTGCTAAATCTTAAAACAATACTTTGGGGAAGAATGGGTGTTTGCAAAATTGAGGAATTTGGATTACATTTGCACTCATAGGTGTGATCTCCTGCACCAAAATCCTTGGTATAGAAGGGCACTGTGCACAGCTACAAACTTTATGTCTTCCAACTCCAGACATTGCCTTACATATGTGATGTGAAAGATGTTTATTGAATGTGTGCAGTGGTGCAGCTCTGAATAAAGTTAGAATTAACACATTTTCTATTTCTTCTTCCATGTGGTAAATATAATTCATAAGCCATTATTAGCATAACAAAATGATCATTTATTAATTTCATTTGATGAACATATTTTATCACATATCTAAATTGTATTTTTTACATCCAAGACCTGCTAACTGGAATTTTTTTAGTAGTTTGGCCTTAAGTTTTATGTTTATGGCTGTGTCTTAATTTACCTAGATATTTACCTTGTCTATCTAGATTTTATTTCCCTTGATTAAAATAAAACACTATTTTTGACCACTTAAGAGTGAAACGCAGCATCCAAAAATATAGATGCAATGTTTACTTTGTGAAAACGATGCTCTGGATTTTTATATATTCAAAATGTAAGAAAATACAGAGAAGTTACTAGGTAAAAAATACTGCAGATGTGGATATAGATTAATGGATTTGTGTCATTAAAAGTGTTCTGCTCTATAATTTATTAAGCTGAGACAATAATATATGAATTTTACATGTTACTTTGATATGTATTAATGAAGCAAAAGCCAGTAAGTGCAAGAACCAATATATCTATATTTAAATAATATAACGTGTTCAAACAAGAATTATTCTTTTTAATTTAGGTTTAATATTGCATAGAAAGAATTATTCTAAAAGAAGTAATACTCTAGTTAGAAAGTTAACAAAATCTTTAAAGCATATAATATGGAAAAATAAGCACAAAAATAAAAATAAATACAGTTTCGGATATTGGAATTTGCATTTTTAAAAATTGACTTTCCTTATAGAGTCAAAAATTAGATGGTGACTTGGTTTTCCTCATTAAATATTACAATCACACTTGTTCCATTGTACATCTTTGAAATAATGCCAATTATGTGATTATTTCTCTGACAACTATATACTGAAGAGAAGAAAATATTTCATCAGAGAAATTCATAATTTTAAAATTAAAAATTTATATTTTATTGTCTAGTTCCATCATCTTGGAAACCATAGTTAACAATGGGAACGTAAGTAAATATGGATTACGTAGTAAACTATTATTGTATTAGTTTGATTTTGCATTGCTATAAAGAAATGCCTGAGACTGGGTAATTTATAATTAAAAAAAAAAGTTTAACTGGCTTATGATTTTGAAGGTTGTACAGGAAGCATGGCTGAGGAGGCCTCAGGGAGCGTTTACTCATGGCAGAAGTCAAAGGGAAAGCAGGCAAGCGTTTATGTGGTCAAAGCAGGAGGAAGAGTGAGAGGGAAGGTGTCGCACACTTTTAAACAACCAGATCTCACAAGAACTCTATCACCAGATTAGCCCCAAAGGAGGAAAGCTGCCCCTATGATCCAATCACCTCTTACCATGCCCCACCTCCTACACTGAGATTACAATTCAACATAAGATTTGGATAGGGACACAGATCCAAACCAGATCAATAATCATTTGAAAAAAGATATCCCAGTCGGTGATAATGCCAGTCATTATATCTCTCTAAAGGAAAATGTTGGAAGTCCTCTACCTTTTTTACTGAATTTGTGTAAATAGTTGCAAAGATGCTGATGATTGTCCCAGATGGAGTCACTCTTTCCTTGCATAGTATAATAACTATGTGATAATATTAACTACTTTTCTATTGTGGGGAATTGAGAATTGCTAATCATTTATTTGCAAATGACATATGCATTCTTTCTGCTCTCCAGCATAATACTTTGATTAGCAGAACGATCCTCAAAACAGAATAATCTGTTCTTAAAGAGACAACTAATGAATAGGTTTTATAATATACAATATTGTCCTGGTACATAATACATGTCAAATTCAATAATGTAGTTTGCTAAATGAATAAATAATCTGATAAATATTATTCATATTGAGTGTAAATTAGGCTTTTAATTACACTAACTGACATTTGCCAGTCATCTTAATTTTAATAATATTATGGCCTATATTTTATGTTTCTTCAATTTTTTTTCTTATTAACTACCATATTGTCTGGATGGTGGAGAGAGGAAGTGCTAAAAATTTTGGTGATAAACCAGTGTACATGTGTACACATATTTTGATTCCATGCTTAATAGATATTTTGTTAAAAATGATACTTTAGAGAAAAGTACTAACTTTAAGTTTAAAATAAGAGAAAGTAAATACAACTTTAAATAGCCAATAACATTTCCTACATAAATTTTTATAAAGTTAAAATGAGCTTACAGAGCAAACATTAGATAATAAAAATTAAGTTGTCAACAATGTAATATTTGTCAACAAACATATAGTGTAATATCTATAGTTTCTTCACAGTTAAACATTTTTCTGAATAATTTAAGTGAGATTAGATATAATGCTTAAAGGTTTACAAGCATTGGAATGATAAAATGATTGATAATTTGACAAATACTGATTGCATCTTGGTGGAAATTCTTTTGAAGGAGCAGAAGAAATGATATCTAAAGACAGTCATGAAGTACTTCATAGTCTTATGAAATTTTGAGGAGTAATAATGAATTTATATCACATTATTTATTGGACAAATAATCATCAATTTTTGAAATAATAACATTTTCTCAATTTGTGAATTGTTACCAATCTCAACTCAGTCTAATAAAACTCAGAGAAAGAGACTACTTATTTTATTTTAACACAACATGTAGCTTTAGTGATTTAGTTTGAATTTTTAGAACATAGACTAATGTTTTACCAGGATATTTTTCTCAGTAAAAAAGATTTCCTTTAAAATATAGATAGCATTTTGAAGTATTCATTTTAATATTGTATTTTTTTAGGTTTTATTCTTTCCTTATTTTTTATATATGCATATATACACAAATACATAAATATAATATACATATAAGTATATATACACATATATCAAACATATCTATAAAGAATCTGAATATAATACATGCATATATTTTTTCAAGTAGACCAAAATTTTCTTACACTGAAGAATAATTACTTACCTATTTTTAGTTCCTATTGATAGTTCATTGAGCAAATGAAATTTTCTGTGATTCTAAGATCCAGTTGATTGTAAGCTATAATATTCATTTAATAACACTGTAGCATTAAATACATTTACTGGATTTTAAAAAGAGGAGTTAGCTAAAATGTCTGCATGTCAAATTAGGGCCGTATGGTTGCCACAACCCCAGGAATGTTTGGTAATTACAGTCTTCTTACATTATAGTTGTTCAATGAATAACTTGATATCTGTGACAAAAAAAAGATTTTTTTTTCTAATTTATTCCTAGTTAGTTATGTGACTATAAGCCGATGTTGGTCTTTGTTTTTCTAATTCATAAAACAATAACAAAAATCAATAGGGTCTTATTTTGTATGTAACTGCTTTTTAAAAAATTATTTTATTTTACATATTTTTCTGTTATTGATACGTAATGTGTTACATATTTCTGGGGTACATGTAAGAGCTCTCTACATGCATAGAATATGTTATGACCAAGTCAGGCATTTCTGGTATCCATCACCTTGAGTCCTTATCATTTCTTTGTTTTGGAACTTCTTAATTATTATTACTTTAGCTACAGCAGACAACCCAAATATAAAAATATCCACACCAAGGGAGGTATATGCCTGGAAGTGTATCTTTATAAAGAAGGAATGCTTTGTTGTTGATGGTGGTGGTTTGTGTGTTACAGGAAAGGCATCCTGATCCAGACCCCAAAAGAGGGTTCTTGGATATCGCTCAAGAAAGAATTCTGGGGGAGTCCACATTGCAAAGTGAAAGCTAGTTTTTTAAGAAAGTAAAGGAATCAAAGAATAGCTACTCCATAGTCAGAGCAGCCTGGAGGGCTGTTGATTGCCCATTTTTATGGTAATTTCTTGATGATATGCTAAACAAGGGGTGGATTATTTATGCCTCCCCTTTTTAGACCATATAGAGTAACTTCCTGATGTTGTCATGACATTTGTAAACTGTCATGATACTGATGGGAGTGTAGCAGTGAGGACGACCAGAGGTCACTTTCGTCACCATTTTGGTTTTGGTGGGTTTTTGCCAGCTCCTTCCTGCAACCTGCTTTATCAGCAGTGTTTTTATGACCTGTATTTTGTGTTGACCTCCTGTCTCATCCTGTGACTTAGAATGCCTTAGCCATCTGGGAATTCGGCCCAGTAGGTTTCAGCCTCATTTTACCCAGCTCCTATTTAAGATGGAGTTGCTCTGGTTCACATGCTTCTGACATGTGTGTCTGTGTAAACAAATACCAATTACTATTCTTATACTATCGAATTTATTCTTTCACTTGGGAAATAAATTTAAATGTTCTCTAATTTTTCAGAGACACTTTTGCTCAGAATTTTTGCTGTGTGTTTTGATTAGTGCAAGCAAATATTTCATTTGTACTTTTTCTTCTTTGACTGAAAAACTAGAAGGAATGAGATTGCTATTTAAGGTGGCCTCTACTAAGCTTACCAAGTACTGTCTCACTGTTTCATCATGTCATACACTCTCCTAAATAAATCTATGAAAACAGAAAAAAATATACAATGCACAATATTAAAAAAATAACTCCAGGCCAGGCGCAGTGGCTCATGCCTGTAATCCCAGCACTTTCGGAGGACAAGGTGGGCGAATCATGAGGTCAGGAGATCGAGACCATCCTGGCTCACACGGTGAAACCCCATCTCTACTAAAAATACAAAAAAAAAATAGCCATGCATGGTGGCACGTGCCTATAGTCCCAGCTACTCTGTAGGCTGAGGCAGGAGAATCGCTTGAACCCAGGAGACAGAGGTTGCAGTGAGTTGAGATCACACCACTGCACTCCAGCCTGGCCGACAGAGCAGGATTCTGTCTCCAAAAAAAAAAAAAAAAAGAAAAGAAAGAAAACGGCGAACTATTAATGAAATCTGGCTGGAAGACCCATAATGGACATGAAAATGAAACAATTAGCAAAACTGTTAACCAGCATATGACTTGTCCTCTGTAGCACTGTTGTGTTACAGTCCTGGAAAACATTTACATCTCCTTTGTTTTGTCCTGAACTGCCATAGTCTGAATATTTGTGCCCCTTAACCCCAAGCCCAACCCCAACCCCAAATTCATATGTTGAAGTTGTAACCTTCAAGGTATGATATTAGAAGGTGGAGCCTTTGGGAGGTGATTATGTTATAATTGCAGAGCCCTTATAAAAGAGGATTCAGAGAGCTTCCTCACCCCTTCTACTATAAACCAAAAACAAAATTCTGAGTCCCCCAGTCAACTGAACGGACACTTTTTCTTGAAGGACATTCTAAAGTAAACCTGAAACGCTAATTCAGATCATAATGGGAATGAATATTTGGACACGCCTCATTATACTTCCCTCTCTTTAGATTTCAGGCACAGTTGACTAGCATTAACATTAAAACAGAGACCTTTGGACTAACAAAGTAGATTCTTTGTAGCAATAAGACACCAACATGGCAAATAGCAGGCCCTGAAAGAAACTGAAGTATTTTAACCCAATATATGTATATTTTTGACATACTTTGAAATGGCCCTGCAAAGCTGTATATTGGGAAAATCTACATTATGTAGAAAATCACCTGCCCTTTTCAGGTCTTTGTTCAAACCCAGGAGAGAATTACCTAAGAGTCTAGCACCATTTTAAGTCTGATAAGAAACATTTACATTTACAATCTATTCTCTCTGAAGCCTGCTACCTAGAAGCTTTATCTGCATAATAAGAACCCTGGTCTCCATGACCCTTTGTCTTAATCCCAGACACTCCCTTCTATTGATTCTTGATCTTTAGATAAAACCTCTTTCAATCAATTGTCAATTGCCAATCAGAAAATCTTTGAATCTACCTATGATTTGGAAGCTCCTGCTTATAATTATCCCACCTTTCTTGACAGAACCAATGTACATCCTATATATATTGATTGAGGTCTTATGTCTCCCTAAAATGTATAAAACCAAGCAGTAACCCTACCACCTTGGGAACATGTTCTCAGGATTTTCTGGGGCTGTTTCATGAGCCATTAGTCACTCATGATTGGCTCAGAATAAACCTCTTCAAATGTTTTACAGAGTTTGCCTCTTTTTGTTGACACTACCAGTGGTGACATAGCGAAATGATGGCTGTCAATGAGCCAGAACTCTCATCATACTCCCAGACATTGAATCTGTCAGGACCTTGATCTTAGACTTGCCAGCCTTCACAGCTATGAGAAATAAATTTCTGTTATTTTGAATCCACCTGGTTCATAATATTTTGCTATAGCAGCCTGAACAGAATAAACCGTGAATCACGTTATCTTCATTCAACAAATAAGTAGGCATTTATCCAATTTTTAATTCAAGGAGCTTCTAAATTAGCCAGAGGGCAGTTGAAAAGTTGTTAGTGATCTACTCCTATACTCACCAATCCACAAAAACATCCTTTTTTTTTAATAACCATTCAAACATTACCTTTCCTAGCATCAATATTACTGGGAACAAGATACATTTGATACCAGCTGAGCATTGTAACATAGGAAGTTCATTTTAAAAAGTGGTCCAGCATTTAAAATTTAATGTGTCTAAGTCATCAGTGGATAAATCCTCTGAAAATATTCACTAAATTAGTGTATAGATATTTAAACTGTGAGGTTGAATAATGAAGATTAACACGTTTTCACAGCAAACTCCTCCCCTTGCTCCCCTTCTGGCAAATAAATTTACTAGAATAAAATTAATGTGAGCATTATCAAGAACAATTCAAAGATTTTATCTCTTGGTCAATATTGCCTTTGATTGTTACAAATACTAATATCAATGAATAAACAGAAAAAAGAGATAAAACAGACAAAGGGAGATGAACTAAGGCTCCAGGAAGGGATGATTGTCACAATAATGAAAATGAGATCATGCTATAATCATACAATTTACCATAAAACTGTATAAAAATATTTAAAAAACATTTCTTGGTATATTCATAGGGAGGTGACAAAATGTCTTATTGTAACAGGATCAATACATTGACAAGAATTATTTTAAAAATACAAGAAGGTAAATTACAAACAAACAGCTGAATAATAAGTATTTTGATATTTATTTTATAGAGGCATGATAATAAATGCAAAAACAAATAATATATTGTCCAATCAAAGGAACAATAGAAGTAGAATTGAAAATTAAATAGGTCAAAATAGTCATTGAAGGAAGTTGAAAATAAATGTGAAATTTTAGAAGAGTAAAATAGTGTTAAAAAAAGGCAAATCTTCACAAGATAGTTTAATAAGAACAGAAATAATAATAAAAGAAAATAATACCTATATAATAATACATGTAAAAAATCAAACAATCTGTATAATTTTTATTGATTGGAAGAATACATTTCATAAAAACTTAATTCTCAGACTAGAAGAAATAACCTAAATATAGTTGAATAAATTTTTTCTTAATAAAAGTTTGGTTATATATATGAAGAAGAAAATAATGTTGTTTGCATCTAGTGCTTTTTATTTTTCTTTGGCAATAAAATACTATTTTACTGAACTTTGCGTATGTATTCAGGCCAAACAATAAAAAAGGAAAAAAGTAAGTAATGATATTTGAGCATTATATTAATGTATTTTTTGGAAGAAAGAAAAGCCAATTCATCTAGTTTAACACATAATGTATAACATCTAAATAAATCTCAGAAAAAAACCATTAAAATTAACTACAGTATTTTATTAGCATTGACCCATATTTCCTTTATTTGCCAAGAAATTAAATCAGGCTAGACTCACTCACATTAAATGTCAGACAGCAATGTGATAGCATCTTTTGAATACTAAAAGAATTCTAAAGTAAGAATGTTATACTCAGGGGAATAGTCACCCATGTAGAAAATCAAACACAAGGCATTTCCAAATAAACAGAAAGTCAGATAATGTACTGTTCTTGATCACTTTCATTTCTTCTTCCTGTTGCACACACATACAAAGTGTTAAGTAACTTGCAACCAAGAGATAAATACATCCAAACAAATGATAAAGTGAAAACACAATGATAAAGTACACTTTAAATCACTTGTCTTAGGAAAGAAGATATGGAGTGTCTAACATTTAGTAAACATGATAGTTATCTAACACTTCAAATTGTATTGAAAGGTATTTGGAAATTCCAAAAACCTAAAGATATCCTTATACTATCGAGGAGAAAATAAAAAAATACTCCTCTTGTTTGAGAAGAACAGTTAATCTTAAATGTGTGTTTTACACATGTAGCAATGATAAAATTAAAAACATTATGTATAATGATAATTTCTGAGGAAATAAAAGCAGAACAATATAGTCTAAACAATAAAAAGCACACAAAATAAATTTATTTTTAGAACTAAATAAATGACACAGGAAAAAAGACCACTATGAGAACAAAAAATCATGTGTTCTGAAACTTATACATTTAAAAAATATATATAGTAGTGTAAAACTGGTCTAATCACATTTTTTATAGAATAAATAAATTTAAAACAAAATGTGTTAATATTTTTAATAAAGAAAATGAGCATATGTCAGGCATTCTAAATAAAACTTAACATTTTCAACAAGAGATGTGTACATAAATATTCATGGCTGCCTTGTTTGTAACATTAGAAAGAAAAAAGACGTCATCCAAACTTCCATTAAAAAAAGAATGACTATATTTACTATGGTGCAATTAAGCAAGAAAATACTATATATATATATTTTAAAGTAAAGGTAAATGGGCCGGGCACAGTGGCTCATACCTGTAATCTCAGCACTTTGGGAGGCCGAGGCGGGCGCATCACGAGATCAGGAGATTGAGATCATTCTGGCCAACATGGTGAAACCCCATCTCTAATAAAATACAAAAAAAAAAAATTAGCTGAGCGTGGTGGCAGGTGCCCATAGTCCCAGCTACTCAGGAGGCTGAGGCAGAAGAATCGCTTGAACCCGGGAGGCAGAGGTTGCAGTGAGCCGAGGTCGTGCCACTGTACTCCAGCCTGGCAACAGAGTGAGACTCCATCTTAAAAAAAAAAAAAAAATTACTCAAATTATAAGGTATCTGAGTCCCAGACACCTCTTTTTATTGCTGAAGCATATTATAATTATGCAATATATCGGTCTTGGTGTATTAGAAATACTACGCCATATTTTCCACTGTATTCTAAGTCAAGAGTTAGAGTGGGACTCCATATGATGCAAGATAAACAAACCTCTTCTTGATTAAACCCATTCTGAGGGGCTAATTCTTCCCTTCTGTTGTATGAAATTAAAGGAATTTCTTGTGACTTTAGTAGTTACTCAACAAAATGACAACATAGCCGTTTCTGCAGTTACTTTCAGTCTCACAAAAGATTATGTAATCAAAAATTAAATTATCCTGTGTAATAGTGAAACTCGAAGTTTCATTTAAAGATTCCTCATTTCACTGACTTGGCCTTATATGAGGCTGGAGATCCAATTTGGAAATGGACATTTGGTAGACTTTTTCATCCCCCACATTGCTCTCCTACTTTTCTCCTTTGCTTATTAATCATGGCGTTTGACCTCCCAGGGAAAACAGCCGGGAGGAAGTTAGAAAATATGTTTAAAGGGCAAAAACATTTTCACTTGCTTGGTTGCATAATGATTTGATTTTGGATCTCTTGGGGCTTGGAATCTGGCCAAAGATTACTCTATAGTAAGGTACATTTTAAGTTTCTTAACTTTAAGACATGCCAGCTCAAAGAATGTCTAAATTTAGTTTTCCAGACTGAGGCAATGCATTCACTTGGGCTGACTGCTTATGAATTTCTCAGTGCCTGGACTTCCAGATGTCCACCCTGTTGTTGACATTATGTAATTCCTCCAGATAGTATTTCTAAGGAGCATTTTAAATGGTCTCAGCTTGGCTCTCTTTTTGCATAGCACGTATCTGGTACAATCCAAATTTATGTATGTGTAGCTAGCTCCCAATGAAGTATTTTCTCTCTCCTGTTTAGCCATCTCAGGTAGATAGCAAAACCTCAGGCTAATCGTATGTGAAATAGACAGTGTCCACTGTACCCAGATTCAAAGAGGATATGTCAGTGTGAGGAGGTATTTTTATCCACTCCTTCCACTAAAAAATGGGAAGAAAAATGATAGGAAACTTCTCACGTTTCCTTCCAAATATATTTTCTTCTCTATTCTTTACCTTAAAAATAAATAAAAACAAATTTACCTTTTCTTTCCTAATGCTCTAAAGAAAACCTAGGGGCTCAGTTTAGAATATGGAACACTTGCCACATATCATTGGCAGAATCACTGGAAGACATGTCGTTGGAAGAATCAATGATTCTTCCCCAATCATTTGAAGTCTAGTTAACTCCATTCTTCTAAACTCTAAATTGCTTTTCCTGCTTTTCCTGTTTTCTTTCTCTTTCTTTCTTTCTTTCCTTCCTTCCTTCCTTCCTTCTTTCTTTTCTTCCTTTCTCTCTCTTTCTTTTCTCTCTCTTTCCCTCCCTCCCTCCCTCCCTCCCTCCCTCCTTCCTTCCTTCCTTCCTTCCTTCCTTTCTCTTTCTTTCTTTCTTTCTTTCTTTCTTTCTTTCTTTCTTTCTTTCTTTCTTTCTTTCTTTCTTTCTTTCTCTCTCTCTCTCTCTCTCTCTTTCTTTCTTTCTTTTCTTGTCTTGCTCTGTCACCTAGGCTGAAGTGCAGTGGTGCAATCACAGCCAACTACAGCCTTGACCTCCTGGGACCTCCTGGGCTCACGTGATCCTTTCACCTCAGGCTCCCAGGGTGGCGGCGACTACAGGCGCATGCCACTATGCCTGGGTAAATTTTTTATTTCTTTTTTTAAAGATGGGGTTTCACCATGTTTCCCCAATCCACCTGCCTGGGAATTACAGGCATGCTGGAAAGGTGCTAGAATTACAGATGTGAGCCACCACACCTAGCCAACTCTAATTCGTAATGTAAACCAGCGCTCGTCTTGTTAATAATTATTTGTGTAGCTCCTTGTATGATTTTTGAGAAAGTACTTGCTGTATAGTAGTCACTTTAAAAAATACTAGTTTTTATTATCCATATAGATAAAAATTAATCAGATATTTAAAATAATTTAGTAGTGTATTGGCAGAAGCTTTACCAAGCCAATATATTTCTCATATAAATTTTTCATAGAAATACAAGTAATAATTATATTTAAGGATTATATAAATGTGGTCTATCATAAAATACAAAAATTAGAAAATTTAAAAATGGGATTAAAAGCATTTGATAAAATACAACATATGTTTTTTAAAATCCTTGGAAATTGAAAAAATAAACATTAAAATATATCAATATTAATTCAATTAAAATATGAAATGCTAAGGTGATTATGTTAAAACATGAAATGAAAGAGAATGGTCATAGATATATAATGATCATAAAATATACATGATATGGAAATCCATTGGAATGCCCATAGAAGTAATACATTTCCAATTGCATGATTTGACAAAAATAAGCCAAAATACAGAGGTTTATGACATAGTTAAAATGAAGAGAACTCTTTTAAAAGTATTTTTATCACTAAATAACCAAAATAGAATACTTCAGAAACAGCCAAAGAAAAAATATATTTGATAGAGGTGATTGATAATACCAAAACTTACCAAGGATTATAATATATCAATTTAATAATGAGTAAGAGACAGTATTTCTGAGAGGTAATTCTGAAAATGGTAGAAACAATATGTTTACAAATTGTCATGGTTAGAATTTTTTTTTTTTTTTTTTTTTTTGAGACGGAGTCTTGCTCTGTCTCCAGGCTGGAGTGCAGTGGCACCATCTCAGCTCACTGCAACCTATGCCTCCCAGGTTCAAGCTATTCCCCTGCCTCAGCCACCCGAGTAGCTGGGATTACAGGCACACACCACCACGCCCGGCTAATTTTTTGTATTTTAGTAGAGACGGGGTTTCACCATGTTGGCCAAGATGGTCTCAATCTCCTGAGCTTGTGATCCGCCCACCTCGGCCTCCCAAAGTGCTAGGATTGCAGGCGAGAACCAGTGAGCCCAGCCATAGTTAGAAATTTTAAGCTAAATCCCAGTTGTAGCTTTTGAAGCTTAAACGCATGCATATTAAACTCATATTACCATGTAAAAAATAGTAATCAAGAAACATATTTTTGAAAAAAAAGGTTTTTACCAGTTGCAACTAAAATAATTAAAACATTATTACACCAAATAGGGATGTGTAGTCTCAACAGTAAATCAGAATAGATAAGATAACCTAAAATAAATGTAAAAATTGGTTATTTATAAAACAAAGAAACAAACAAAAATTAGAAACAAAAAAGCTCTTAAACCTGGCAAAATTATTTTTCACTTTTTGGCCTAAGGGTGAATATAAGATATTCTTTATAAAATGTTTAGATATTTTATATTTGGTATCTATATAAGATATGTAATATATAATATATAATAATATATTATCATTAATAGTAATAATATTAATTATAGATAATATATGGAATATATAAGATATTCTTTATAAAGTGTTCAGACATTTGGCATTGCCATGGTTCTGAATTTGCTGATGTGCCAAAACAAATATAGTTACTTTGGCTGTTACATAAATTAAGAAATGATATTTTTATTTTTATATGTATGCTGTTTGTCCAAATTTTTATCAAATCTTTTTTGATAATATCGTCTTATGTTTAAGTTATAATAACTTCTCTTTGGCAATAGAGATAAATTTAACATTCTAAAATTAAAACACTTGTTCAATTTATTATCAAAATGGGTAATTCTTTACAAAGTAGGATGGAAGATTTTTTTAAGATGGGCTTACCTGTTTCTTCAATGGAATATGACTGAAGACAAATTCCCAAGTTTATAAAATTAGAGTGCACTTCATATAAAAAAGGAAATGACTCCAAAATTTTAATCTTGTAGTAAATCAACATTAAATATTGAATTTCACAACACATACTTATAACCAAGTTGCAATGGACTGAATGTACCCCCGTCTCCCCAAATTCATATGTTGAAACCCTAATCCCAGTATGATAGTATTTGGAGGTGAGGTTCTTAGGAAGTGATCAAGTCATGAGAGTGGAGTATTCGTGAATGGAATTAATGCCCTTATGAAAGGAAACCAGAGAGTAAACTGGCTCTTTCTGCCATTTGAGGACACAGGAAGAAGTTTTATAAACTAGAACTGGGTCCTCACCAAGAACCTTGACACTGCTGACACTCTAACTTCCAATGTCCAGAAATATGAGAAAAAAAAGTTTGTTGTTTAAGCCACCCAGATTCTAGTATGTTATTATAATAGCCTGAGCTTACTAAGACAAAGTGGAAGACTAATATAGAAGGGACATTTTTCAAAGCTTGAAACATTTCTCATTTCTTTGTCTTCTTGGTAATTATTTTCTAATTAGTTTTTATGGACTTTACTTTTATTATAATAGAGCAGTTTTCCCTTAAGGCCTATATGAATTATATATGACTTAAATATAGAAGTATATAAACACAAGCAAAATTTTGGAAGAGCAAAATTGTAGGAATAAAAATTAAGTATTGGAGACTGAAATTTCTTTCTTCTTTCGGTTTATAGTTCAATAGGTAATCCTGGAGAGGCTACTTTAACAATAGGTGGACACTATATTTTTAAAATAACCTTTAATGATAATTGTAAAAAATTTTTGAAAATCTTAATATCCCAAATAATGCATATTTAAGCTCTTTTTGCCCCCGAGCTTCATTAGCAAAACTGTACTCCAAAAATAGAGAAAAGTTAAAAATTTGGACATATGCTGAGTTCATAACCTAGGTCACATGAAAGAGCAGGACTAGGATAGAAGGCCTGGCAAAAATTATATTAGAAGAATTTTTAGGTTTGTCCCTGGGCTTAGAAATGAGCCTAAACTTGTTGTTGCTTTTATTTATTTATTTTTTGTTTATTTATGTATTTATTACATATTGCTACATTTGTTTGAGAGACTGAATCAAAATGCAAATTTGTCCCTAAGAAGCAGTGGCTTAAAATAATACAAATCACAATTCTCTTTTATGCTGCTTTGCGCAGTATTAACTTTTATGCAATTCAGTTCAAAAGTCAGAAACTTATGTGAGTTCTGTTGCTTCTTAATAACATTTGCTATTATTACCTTTTTGATTTTTCTATATACTCAATATCATACTTCAATAACAACTTATGCTAGTTTCAAGGTAAAAAATACTATATATGATCCTCAAACTATTAAATATGCATTATCAATTTTAAATACTTCTTCTTTGAAGATATTAAGGCTCAAAAAAATTAAAGAAGTTTCCAAAATGGAAGACTTAGGATAAACATGTGTGTTTCTACCGCAATGTATATCTGCCTTCTGTTATGTATAATTTTCTTCTTCAAAATGCTGCTGTGTACATTATTTAACTAGAAATGTTTTAGCAATGGTTACTTAATCTACCTGCTTAGGTATAGCTCCTTTAAAAAGTCAGTATTTTTAAAATTTGAGACTTTATAAAACCACTATTTTTCACTGAGGATTATGACAAACTTGAAATACAGCATATACAGTTAAACAGCTTGACACTAACAGCTTACATAATCAGATATAATAACAGTGTAATAAAAAACAGTCTTCACATGTTTTATAAATTAAGTGTAGTTTGGAAAATTTCTGCTACATTCCTTGCTGCCCATTATTTGTTTACTCTGTTTTGTATCTCTCCTGGTTTCTCCACTAGTCTTGCATCAAAGTCAATTATTTTCAATGTTACAGTTTTCCTTTTATCCCTATTGAGAGTTTATAGGCCAGGACCTTTACAAATTTTTTTTTGTAAGTTTTGCTATGTATTTTGTTATTTCTATTACCTCATATATACAAATGCAAGAGGTCTGTTTCTTCTTTACTGAATTATCTTCACATTTGCTGCTTATTTCAGAGCTTTTCTGATGGAAGAAATTTGCTTCCCATGCTTTTGTAAGAAACATATTGACTGCTATATAGAACTGCTTATTTTTTTTTATTCTACAGGTAATTCTTATTTCTTAAGAAATGCCACTTTCAGCAGGAGCAGCAAAGTGAAAAATTATCCCTTTGCTACCTCTCAGTAATATTGTTTAAGTTTATTTTGTCAATTTATCTTTGATTTCCCCTTCTTGTATTTCACCGGCCTGAAATACACCCAGAAATGTCCTTTCCACCCATACAAATTCTTCTCTGCCATCGAATTACAACTCAGATACGTCAATTTTTGGAACAAGCAGTTCCTCAGCCCTTGAACTTGAATAGAGCTCTTCATCTTATAAATGCCAGAGGAATTACTTTCAGACTAATTCATGTGGAATTGATTCTTGGGAAATGTCTTTTGTTCACATTTTGCTATTGTTTTGATATAATTTATCTCCCGGACTGTTCTTTAATTTTGTATATTTGTCTTGTTTCTATAGGGGGATGATGTTTTCTTTTCTGTCTGAACAGAAAAGATTCAGTTCTGTAGTCTTTGGAATCAAACAGCACTTTGCCTTTTAAAATCATTTGTCTTATAATATTTATGGACTATGTTTTGGGTACCTGAAATGTGACTCAAGGAAAAGGACTTTTTTTTTTTTTGGGACAGATTCTCACTCTGTCACTCTGGAGTGCAGCGGCGCAATCTCGGCTCACTGCAACCTCTACCTCTTGAGTTCAAACAATTCTCCTGTCTCAGCCTCCCGAGTAGCTGGGATTAGAGGTACACACCACCATGCCTGGCTAATTTTCTTTATTTTTTTTCTTTTTTTTTTTTTGAGATGGAGTCTTGCTCTGTCGCCCAGGCTGGAGTGCAGTGGCGTGATCTCAGCTCACTACAAGCTCTGCCTCTTGGGTTTATGCCATTCTCCTGCCTCAGCCTCCCAAGTAGCTGGGACTGCAGGCACCCAGCTAATTTTTTGTATTTTTAGTAGAGATGGGGATTCACCATGTTAGCCAGGATGGTCTCGATCTCCTGACCTCGTGATCCGCCCGCCTTGGCCTCCCAAAGAGCTGGGATTACAGGTGTGAGCCACCACACCCATCCCTAATTTTTGTATTTTTAGTAGAGATGGGGTTTCACCATATTGGTCAGGCTGGTCTCAAACTCCTAACCTCAGATGATCCACCTACCTCGGCCTCCCAAAGTGCTGGGATTATAGGCGTGAGCCACCGCGCCCTGCCGCATCAGGACTTTTTGCATGTGTTCTCTGAAGTAATCACAATTAAAATTACATGATCAACAGTATATTCATGTTTTCTATCTAGCTTCCCAAATTTTGTAAGCCAAACATGGGGGTAGTATCTTTCATTTATCACTGTAATGTCAGTGCCTAGACTGTACATGATGCGTAACTACCAATATCTGTTGCATGTACAAAGGTAATAATACTGGAAGCTTAATAAACATTTCCTGAGGGTGAAAAATGGGAAAAACTACATATAGAGAAAAAGAGAAAAAGTAACAAGTTAAATATATTTTTGAAGTTCATATTCTTAATGAGGAAATTTAGTCTTCATCTGGGAGAAAAATATTTTCTAAATATTACATAATCTAACAACTATTAAAATATCTTGGTAACATATTAGAGATGGGTAGAGCTAAAAGCAACTCATCTGGATGGAAAGAAAATACACTAGTCCAAAAAAGATATGCTGTAGGTTTTGCTGAAAGTATATATATATATATATATATATATATATATATATATAGTAAACAGAAAATTAAAATCAATGTAAGTTAGTAAAAAAATAAAAATTGGGTATTATTTTGCTTAAAATTTGAGTACTATTTTCTTGTGATAGTTTGCATAAGGCTTTCTTTTAGTTTTTGCAGACATAGAACACCTTCAGGTAGTTTAGATTAGTTTTCTAATCTACTAAAATTTTTCAATGCTGAAAAGAAAATCCCCACATTTTAATTTAGCAATGTATTTTGTGACAAACTCAACTTTTTGTTATATTTATAGAAGAGGTAAATAAATTGAACTATGAGCTAAAAATCTTAAATTATTATTCAGTTATAAGTTGGCTTTAATTGGTTGATTGCTTTCATACTTGTATTTAGTAGAAGACACTGTTGTTGTATTTTGAATGCAAGCATTGTTGATGATATAAAAGGCCACATTGCTTTTTACCATATTTTGCAATATTTTTGTGTTATTCAAAATAATACATGAAAGGCAAAGCTAAATGAATTCAGGAATTAAAATATATGACTAAATGGGTTTTGTACTTATAATTTGTACCCCATCTTTATAAAAATTGTGATAAATACTGAAATATATACAATTAAAGGAGAAACAGTCACTCTTCAGGAAAATGTAATAAAGTATCTTTACATTTCTGAAAAGTATAATATGAAAGGTGAAGCTTCATGTTCAGGCCCCAGGCTAACTTCCTTTGAGTTTGAGAAGGGTCAAAGTGTACAAGAGGATGAAAAGAAAGGGCACTCCAACTGTGAGAGGAAAGCATGAACAGCAGCGGTAACACAAGGAACAGTCAGGATTAGCTAGTGTCTGCGATGTGAGCACTGATGAACATGTGACCAGAAATGTTTAAAATATCATAACTATTTGCTTGGTGAGATTTATATTACTGTGGCTCTATGATACTTTGTTATTTGCCTCATTTAAATGCAAAAAGGTCAAAATATCTCTTTTTGCTTGAGAAAGAAGAAAACCCACTCCATATAATATATAAATATTGGCCATGCACGATGGCTCACACCTGTAATCCCAGCACTTTGGGAGGCTGAGGTGGGCGGATCACTTTAGGTCAGGAGTTCAAGACCAGCCTGGGCAACATGGCCAAACCCCGTCTCTACTGAAAATACAAGAATTAGGCAGGTGTAGTTGTGCAAACCTCTAGTCCTAGCTACTTGGGAGGCTGAGGCATGAGAATTGTTTGAGTCCAGGAGGCAGAGGTTGCAGTGAGCCAAGCTTGCGCCACTGGACTCTAGCCTGAATGATAGAGCAAGACTTTGTCTCAAAAAATGTTTTTTATATATTTATATATATATAAAAAGTATAACATGTTATATATAAATAATATATAATATAGAAATACATAACATGCATATATAAATAATATATATAATGTTATATATGTTATATATAACATGCATATATATAATAAAATATATAACATGTTATATATGTTATATATAAAACATGTTTTTATATGTATATATTATTTGTTCCTCATCTGGGGTCAGTGAGCAAGAGTGGGCACTGGTGGGGATACTCAAAGCAGACAGCTGCAGCCAGTCCTTGTGTCTGGGACTCACACTGGCACTTCTGAATCCTCAGAATCCGCTGGCTTTTGAGCTCTCATTTTTGGTGGTGGGGGTGGGATTCCTGGTTTGCAGGTCCAGGGGATCGTGCTCCTTCCCTGACACATGTCCCACACAGCCACGTTCTGCCCTGAGATGCAGCATTTGATAACTTACCCCCTTACCACATACCACTTCCACCCACGTCCGAGTCAACTTTGTTCTTAACCTCCTTGAGACTCCGTCTGCCTCGAGAACAGATCTTTTTTTTCCCAGTTCATTGAGTTTGGAGTTTTGGATACCATGCAGAAAGTTTACCTTTAAGACTGAGCACCATTTTGATACCCTTCCTCCCCAAAACGTTCATGCTCACGAGTTTGTGGGAAAAGTGAAAGCCAGTACCCACAGAAAACTATGGCTGAACACAGGCTCACATCACGACTGCTTCTGTGGCTGTTGACCAGCCATCCATCTTTGCGGTAGTAGCACAAGACAGTTTAATGACAGCAGTGAGACTTGCTCTTCAGCATGTGTTCAAGGTTCTTGCAGAATCACATCCCACCCACTATGGCTTCTTGTGGAGGTGGTTTGATGAAATCTTTGCTACATCTTCTGCTCCAGCAGTATTATCTGTCTACAACCAGTGCCTCATTTTCTGAAAACTTTTGTGGCTTGAAGAGCATAGTAATGGGGGACACTCACAAGTGTCACAGATTGGCTAGTGCTGGTCTCCTAAAGGAGCAGCTTTGGAAATCAATTATGTCCCTGGTTCTTCTTTTCTATCTGAAAGTGAAGCTGGAGAAGCTGGTTTCTAGCTGAGAGAAGAGGATGAATATTCTATTCATCCCCCTTCTTCCAACTGGAAATGATTTTACAGACCCTTCCTGGCAGCCTACCCATTTGTTAACATGGCCTGGGAAGGATGGTTTCTTGTACAGCTTCGATACATCCTAGGAAAATCTCAGCATCACTCACCACTGCTGAAGCTGGCTGGAGTTCAGCTAGGTCAACTGACAGTTGAGGATATACAAGCTCTGGAGCATAGACCAGCTGAAGCCAGCATGATACAGCAACCAGCCAGAAGTGTTAGTGAGAAGATGAAGTCAGCTCTGAAGAAAGCTGTGAGGGATGTTGCCTTTTCCCTGTCTACTGGCCTTTCTGTCAGTGCATTCTTCTTGCAGTTCCTTGACTGGTGGTGCTCATCTGAAAACCAAGAAACCATCAAGTCATTGACCGCCCCGCCTACTCCACCACCACCTGTCCACCTAGACTATAACTCTGATTGTTCCCTTACCCAAAATGCAGACTGTGTGCCCCTTGTGTTGTAAAACCCAGGTGAATGATACTGTTCTTGCCACTTTTAGCTATGTGTTTCATTACGGCTGTGTGTTTCATTATATGAGGAGTCACCAAGCTTGTCCCATTACAGGTTATCCAACAGAAGTACATCTGATTAAATTCTACTCCCCTGAGAACTGAAAAACAAAATTACATAAAATACTTTATGAAGGAACAAAATAATTACTGGATTTCAGATTTCAAATGAAATATTTCTGGTCAAATTATTGTATTAATACAAGATAATCACAGTTGTTTGCCTTTTAGTGACTGGAATACAGGGAATTGGTTAGACTTTTGTTTGAAAGCAGAAAGCAAGATAGATGATTGAAACAGTAAGCAGCTACCATCCACTGAGCAGCAACAGAAATGAGAAAGTGAGGTCACCAAATATTAGTGTTTGGAGAAAGGGTCCCATTGTCCTATGTCCTGGATTCAGCCCACTGAAGAGGCAGAGCTGGCCCACACTGTGGTCTCTCTGATGAAGTTCAACATATCTGATAATTGAATTGCAAAACACAGTGAAAAAACACCAAACAAACCTGGAAGCTAGGGAAATGCTGACAGACCTAAAACCAAGAAGAAATAAGGCCTTTTATTCCCTCTCCTTGCCTTCAAATATCTGAACAATGCTTTGTGAGGACAGAACCTCGGCACACTAACCAGCAAAATAGTCTGAGAATAGGGTACTCGAACTCCGTTCCTACCATGAAAGAGCAGAGAATTCAGGGTGGAACTGTTGCTGAGAGGCAATAGGTAAATAATCAATACAACACATATTTAATGATTACAAAATGGTGTGGGTTATGGGCTAACATATTTGGCATTAAGTATGTTCAAATGGAATTTGTTTGCCCCTTAGAATTTCCAAGTAATGCAAAAATATTTTAGTCCAGGAATTTCTGCCACTTAGCTTGTAAAGCTTCTATAAGCCTCAATTTCTTTAAAATGAGAATCTGTCATAATCCTTTGTGTTTCTAAGATTCTATAATTCTCACATCTTTATCAGTAAACTACTTTATATAATTTTTTTAATGTAGGTAAATCCATTTTATGGGTAAAACAAAGACAAAATCAAAGCGTAGTGTCCAGGAAATAGACTTGATTGCGGTTTTACAGGCATGCATTCTATTCCTGGCTGCAGCAGTATCAATAATTAGAAGTTAAGGCAACTAATTAACTTCTGTGACAATCAATCATGCCATCTAAAAATAATTAACAGAAATAACTACCTTGCAAGTATATTATAAAATTAGATATAAAAGACTGAAATCTTTCTTGAAACATAGCAAGAGTGTAATAAAAAAACTGCAATAGTGATTTGGCAGTGATGTTAAGATTATGTTGATTTAACCCCAAGGCTATGCAAGTTGTAAGGCAACAAAACAATATTACAACCAAATTATTTAACCCTTATAGGCATAATATTGATAAAATTATTAATGTGTAGTATCCATAACACATGAAAATGTCTAGAGCAGCATTTCTAATCATCTTGTCTCATAGAAATATTGTAAAATGATGACAATGTGTACTGTTCATATGGGTTTTTATATGATGATTTGAAGTAACTCAGTTACTGCTGATTTATATCTCTAAACTAATATTTTACAACTTAGTTCAATATTGTATTATTTATCATTTAATTACATATCCCTGACTTAAGCAAAACTTACTAACCCAAAATGGTTATGCAACTCAGTGTCCTGAAATTATGATCGCTTAGTTCATCAACCATGTCTTGATAATATTTAATATTTTTTATGCACGTTTAAAATGAAATTATGAAAATTCAGTTACTGACAAAGACATGTACAGCCATTTACAGACTATTTTGCACATATCTATAAACATCCATTTATTACATAATTATTCAAAACAGTTCCTATGTGTCTGATGCTGTGTTAGGGGTACCTACTTGAAAGATTAAACATTAGCTCCCATAAGAAGCACAGAATGTATTAGAGATAAATGCCAGTCATCCTATAATATAAAATATTCAATGATACAGGGATATTACAAAAGAATGAAAGGAGCACATTTGTCAATTTGACTCATGGGAGAGTTCACAATGTAGGGAAAGCATGCAAATTAGCAGGGGTATTGTGATAAAGGTAGTTTATAGATGTGGCTCATACCTGCAGTCACTTGCCTTTACATAAAGGCACTTACTCCGTTTAATCTTCTTCGATCTCGTCTAATCAGAAGGCCTTAGAGCAAAATCAGATTTCCCTGAGAAACAAATTCTACTATGTATCTCCTAGTTAATTCTAGTGATTCTATTTCTCTGGAGAACTCTGACTGACACAAAATCACTCCCAAACACTTAGATATATTTTTCAAAAACAGGGATATTTTCTTACATAACACTACTAAACCATCAAACTCAGGAAATTGATATTGATACATTACTCTCATCTAACCTTCAGAACACTTTCAGGATTCAGGCTGGGCATGGTGGCTCACACCTGGAATCCCAGCAGTTTGGGAGGCTGAGGCAGGAGGATTGCTTGAGTCCAAGAGTTTGGGACCAGCCTGGGCAACATAGCAAGACCCAATCTCTACAAAAAATAAAAATAAATTAGCTAGATGTGATGGCACATCTGTAGTCCCAGCTACTTGGTAGGCTGAGACAGGAGGATCCCTTGAGCCCAGGAAGTCAAAGCTACGGTGAACCTTGATCAAGCCTGGGTTGACAGGGTGACCCTGTCACAAACAAACAAACAAAAAATATATCAATAATACCTGCTATAACATAATTGCCCAGTTTAGAATAAACGGTTGCATTTAGTTGTCATGTTTGTAGTGTTCTTCAATCTGAAAATTTCCCAGACTTTAATTTCGTGGACTTATCAATTTTGAAAACTACAGACCAATTTTATTATACAGTGCCCATTATGTTGGCTTTGTATGATGTTTCCTCATGGTTTAATTGGGTTTGGAATACTTGGCAGGAACATTAGAGATGTACCACTGTGCTCTCATTGCCTACCCTCAGGTGGCACCAAATATTTTTGCCCTATTACTGATTATGTTAGTATCCGTTATTTGATTTATTAGTACCTTCCAGACATCTCCACCATAAAACCATTCTCTCTTCTTTTGTAAGTAATTAGAATTTAATGTTAAGGCATTGTGAAACTGTGTAAACATCTTCCACATGAAAATTACAAGGCATTGATTTATTCTTATCAGTATAGACTCATAGCTTTTTATTTTTTTCAGTGTGTTATAATCCATCATTATTGTTATTTATTTTCCTGCTCAAATTATTCCAGATTTTGCCAGTGAAAACCTCCTTTAACTGGATTTTGTGTCTCTTTGACAAGTCCCATATCATTATTTGAATCATTCTTTGAACTTATTTCTTATGTTTTGGTACCAAATTATATTTTTTCGTTCTAAAATTCAGGATTATATTGTACTTCTCCTGCTCCAAGTCTGGAATTTAAAAATTTTCCAAGGAGTTGAGGTTCATTTTAGTGGAAGTTGATACTGGAAAACCAAAATCTAGAAGCTAGCTGTTTCATTGTTTGGGGAATGTTACTCTTCCCAGACTTTCTCAGGGGCAAGAAATGGAAAATATATCGCAACAAATGTTCATTCATAGTTACTCACAGGAATTTACATCTATTTTTACTTCTTGAGTTCACACCAGTTACGAGGAGGCAGCCACATTAACTTGTTCGGACCTTAACCCTATGCACTGGTTCACCCTTACCCTCTTTCCTGTACAAATCCTATACTTAGTCTTTAGAGCACAGTGACTCCTCACTTAATGAGGTATTAGAGTATCCTGACTCTGCCTTAATGGGGATATGCTTAATCTGCTCAAGCTCTGACATCTGTGCTATATTTTCTCCTTCTTGCACACTTATTCTTCTTATCCTGATAAACTCAGTTGTAACACACATTCTAAGCTACTTGCCAACCTCCCGATAACCTTATCACTTCACTTGGAAATATTTTTCTTTCATTCTTGAAATTTACAAATTCTACTGGGTTAATTCCTGAGTAGATTTATCTTCACTGTTTTTGCCTGATGCTTTATAAGCACTTTGAATCATAAAACTAGTTATTTGTCACCCCTTACAGTATCTTTCTCAATATTCTAAATGTCTTTTTCATAACTAATTATAAAATTCCAATCCAATCCCTTAAATTTCAATCTCTTGAATATTTTTGAAGATATGTGTTGGTATTGTGTGAAAGTTTGACCTTGTAGTCTCTGTTCTATGGTCTGCTTTTACTGTGATTTTTCTCATTCTTTCTTCTCTTTTGAACTATCGTAAGTGTTATCATGATGGATTCTTTTTTCTTTTTAATGCATTCACTAAGAATATAGTCTGTATTCCTCAATTATTGAGTATTAAAATGACAAATATCAGAGTTATTTTAGGTCTATGTCTAATTTTTCTGTAAATAAAAGAAGAGTTTAATACAGATTTGCTTTTTAGACAGCATATCTAAGAGCTTATGAGAATGAAGATATCTATGTTTAAAAAAAGGCAGTCATATTATGAAGTTTTAGTTCTGCATTTAATTATTACTTTGTTTTTGTTTTTGTTTTGAGACAGGGTCTCACTCTGTCACCCAAGCTGGAGTGCAGTGGCACAGTCACAGCTCACTGCAACCTCTACCTCTGAGATTTAAGCAATTCTCCCATCTCAGCCTCTTGAGTAGGTGGTACCACAGGCTCACACCACCACACCCGGCTAGGTTTCATATTTTTAGTAGAGACAGGGTTTTGCTATGTTTCCTCAGTTGATCTCAAACTCCTGAGCTCAAGCAATCTACCTGCCTAGGCCTCCCAAAATGTTGGGATTACAGGCATGGGCCACTGCACCTGACCCTACTTTACATTGATTCTTGGGACTGACTAAACCTAATTCTGTGCCCCTTATTTAAATATGAACCACCTTATGATTATTCTTACCAACTTTGCTGCGTTTGCCCAGCACAGTTATTTGCAATGGGTGTAATACAGAAAAATGTCCCATGTAAGATCTCCTTGTGGTCTTTGGCTCACCATGCTCATTCAAGACATTCTGGCATTTTTAGGTTTATACCATAGCAATGTTTCATGGACTTTCTTCTTTTCCTTGTAATACCAACCAAGATGAAAATTACTGACACACACAGTTAGGAAGTCTAGTCAGATGTGACTGAATTTAGGCAATCAAATTGAACAATCATAAAATTTGAATTAACTTTGATTTTGATTTGTTGGATCAGATTTCTCCATTCAGTTGAAAATGTGGTTACTACGTAGTTTCAGATTCATATTCTACAGGTTTAGTAAGACCAGTCTTTATGAATAGTCCTTCAGAAAATTCCAGTGAAGACTCAGTTTGACATGGCATGGGTCATGTGTGTCTTAATACTGTATAATCAGAAAATGTGGGGGAATAGTAATCAGAAGCAACTAAACTAAATTAAATGCCTTCAGTATATGCAAAGACTGGCATCAGAAAAGGAGAGTGAAGCAATACTGAAAAATTATATGCTAACACAAAAGCTTGTACACAAATATTTATAGCAGCATTATTGATAATAGTCAAAAGGTGGAAATAACCCAGATATCTATCAACTAATGAATGGATAAACAAAATTCTATATCCATGAAGTAGAATATTATTGAGCCATAACAGAGTTGGAAGTACATAATATGGATGAACTTTAAAAATATTGTGCTAAATAAAACAACCAGAAACAAAAGGTCACAAATTATGTGAATTCAATTATATTAATGTCCAGGACAGGCAAATCCTTAGCAGTAGAAAATACATTAGTACTTGCCAGTGAGTACTTAAGGGTGTGGAGTTTCTTTTAGGTTGATAAAAATGTTCTGGCATTTGGTGATGGTTATGCAATCTTGTGAACATACTACATTCACTGAAATGTATGATTAAAAATACTTAATTTTATGGTATGTGAATTATATCTCAACTTTAAAATGGAAAAAAAATGTATGTTGCAGTCTGTCCTGCCTTTAGATATGCAATGCTGTGTGGTTGGGCATAGTTCTTTCCCCAGGATTTCATAAATTTCTTGGGTTATATGAGGCAGCACTTCTTGCCTGAGGGGCTTCTCAGCACACAGCATTCACACCACTTCTGCTCTCCAATAGCATATAAAACTTCATTTACAGCTCATTCATTATTCTTTCTTGTCTCCTTTGAGAATGTCTCCCATTAGGCTATGAACCATTTCTACCAGCTTGCTTACTTGTGCCCACAAACAAAGGTGTCCCCATAATGAGTGTCACTCCTGCTAGGAATTCTCAGAAATGCTGTTCTGGGTGGTGGTGAGTTTGTGAGGGAATGAGGCAGATGGTAGCAAGATCAGGTTACATTTAGGGTTTTGCTTTTAAGCTGAATCCATCTAATTCAAGCTCATCTGCAGGTGGCTACAAAACACCCTTCTCAAGCTTGTGTTGTGAATCTGGTGTTGGGTATTTGTTATGATTCATCTGTAACTTGTAATGCTCATGTCTACTGCCTCCCCACCTCAAGATGTTGAGAGAAGTAGGCTGATTACATGGTGTATTCCATTAGCCTCACTCAATATGGAGGAGCGTTATCAATTAAGGGACCAGGGCCAAGTAAATTCAAGGTACAGTGAGACGGGACTTGCTGCCCCTGGAGGTTTTCTGAGTTATCAGCCTGCAAAGATGAGGGAATACTTAGTGCTAATTCATGTTGCCATCCTAATTCCCCAAGAGAATCTTAAGTAGCAATTGGAGGTTTCTTCCCAACAGACCGGAGACCAAAGATTGGGAAAATAACATTACCGAAGGGGCATTGAAAGATAAATACTCCCAAGTGGTAAGTAGGTACTACAGAGAAAGAACTAAAGAAAACTTTGTGATAATCAGGGGAATAGTTCTCCCATTTGCTATTCAAAATCTTCAAGTATAAATGAATGAATGAATGAGAATGTTGCATGTGATCTTTTCATGAAAATACATAAAGTGAGAATGCCTTATTTTTTCCAACAAAGGATTTTGGAAGAAGGCTAAGGAATTGAGGAAATTCTTGAAAATGGGACCACAATTAAAGGGTAGAGTAAACATGTCTCCCATTTGCTGAAAGCTTTTTATGTGCTAGTCTTTTTCCCTCTACACTACTTCAGCAACTCCCTTAATCACCACTTCACATGATTGTAGGTACAGAAGATAGCATCGCATCAGGTAATTTCTTTCAGATCCCACTGTTCAATGAATATGAATATTCTACCTTGGAACTGTTGTTTAAGATAATCCCAGATCCCATTCAGTGAACCATTTTTTCCCTGTTGCCTCTAAAACTAAGATGATGGAGTTATCAGGTAAAAAAGAGTTGATTCTCAGAGCTGCTTTAAAGTGGAAGCAATAAAAGGCAGGGCAGCTGTTCATAATTATCAGGGATCTGAATGGGCTGTCTGAGTTCTTCATCTTCCTGCTTTTGAATCTACTCAGACTTCTCACTATCAACCAGTGGCCCTGGTTTTGAATTTGTCTATTTTTAAATCCATTTTCCCCAGACCTCATTCCTAGGTATGAGATTAGAGTGGGTCCATAATAAACTGATAATATTGTAACCATAATACGTTCATTTCCTGTTGCACACAGCAAGTTAATAAGCTGAGACACTGGGTTACAGAAAAGAAAGAGGTGTAATTGTAGGATCACCAAACTAGGAGATGGGAGAAAACCTCAAATCCACCTCCCCAAGGAATTCAGAGTTAGAATTTCTAAGGGTTTGGGAGTAGGCTGAAGTGTAGAGATCATTGATTAGTAGAAGGAAGAGTGCAGGGTGAGTTCATGGGATAGGGAGATGCAGAAACTGTGTTCTCATGCTAATCCCATCCCTCTATAGATGTCTTCAAAGTGATTGCTGCAATTCACGGTCTGAGAAACATCTTAAGCAATCCTTACACAAAAGCCTTTGTTTTGATTCTAATATCAGAGATCCTGTCTTTAGGAACAATGAAGATGAAAATCAATTCTTTAACAGTCTTATGACCTTAGTGTCAGAAATTTTATTTATAGGAACAATTGGGATGGCAATGGTCAGTATCTATTGCTATGTGACTTTTAGCAATGAGGAAATCGGCCAAAGTTCAGCCTGACTAATGCTTAATTATAACTATACCTCTGTCCAGAACCCAGCATGCAATTTTTGTTAACCCTGTGGGGATGGTTTCAATGCTGGCATGTGATGGGCTAGAACACAGTGCAGAAACTATTTTAGGAAGATATGGGTTGCCTCAAAGGGCTGAATTTAATGGTGAAACATTTCGTCGAGTGGAAGGCCAGCAAGACTATTGTAGGTAATCTTTTTGTATACCTGCATGTGTACCTCACCCATGCTCTGCCTAAGAATCCACCATAACTCTAAACACATTTAATATACAGTAGAAAAGTAGACATTGGTCAGAAATATTCCATTGAGTTGACACCTTTTAATAAACCTAAGCATTACTGTGATGACCAATGTGGGAATTAGCAGGTGGGAGGACTACCAAGGACAGAGACACCAGTGTATTTAGGGAGACTTGGAGGAATGTTGATGAAAAAGTCAGGCTCTGTGAAATATTTAGAGAGGTTTATTATAAACCAATATGAGTTACCATGTCCCAAAAACTAGTCTTAGGAAGTCCTGAGAAGGTGTGCCCAAGGTCGTTGGGTTATAGTTTTGTTTCATACATTTTAGGGAGTCAGAAGTTACAGGCAAAGACATAAGTCAATACATCTCTTTTGGAGTTAGGCACAATGAACCAGGATTCACATTAAATAGAGGTATACATTAGTTCAGTCTGGAAAGGCAGGACATCTCGATGCAGGGTTTAGAGGTCATAGGTGAATTTGAAGATTCTGTAATTGGTAATTGGTTGAAACTCTGTCTAAAGACTTGAAGTGAATACTTAAGATAAGGAAGGTTGTGAAAGCCAAGGTTCTTGTTAAGTAGATGAAGCCTCTGTGTAGCAGCCCTAGATAATATGGTAAATGTCTCTTTTCTAACCTTAAAGTTATCAGACTTTCATTTAATCTCTCCTAGATCTGGGAAAGACCTAGAAAAGTAAGGAGATTCTCTACAGATGCAAGTTTCTTCCACAAAATATGGCTTTGAAGGGCCATTTCAAAATGTATTTTGATTTCCTTCAGGGTCTGCTATCTATCTTATTTATAATGCTATGGCAGAATCAGGTTTGATTTTGGTGTCTTATTACTACAAAGTATCTGTCTTTTTAGCCTTGTTATCTCTGTTTTAAGGTTAATGTTGGTCAGTTGTGCCTAAATTCCAAAAGGGTGGTGGTATAATGAGGCATGCCTGACCTCTCTTCCCATCTTGGTTGTGAATTCAATTTTTCAGGTTTCCCTTGGCCTGGGGTGGGGGTCTGTTTGTAACTGCCCAATGGGTTCTCCTTGTCTGCTGCCTAGACAGAGCCAATTTCTCGAGACAGTGGAATTGCAATAGAGTGTACACCAAAAATAAAATTCTAAGGGCTCCCCACAACCATCTGGATGGATTCCTCCTCAGCCAGGTCACCGTAAAATTTAAGCTGAAAAACTAGTTCAGGCCATGACAGGAAGTAGGGTTTGGATATGCCTTATTATAACCCTCCAGCATTAAAATCAACACAGACCTTAAGTCTGATGAGAAACACAGTCTATTCTCTCTAAAAAGCTTGCTACTTAGAGACTTCATCTACATAATAAAACATAGGTCTCCACAACCCTTTATCATAACCCAGACATTTCTTTCTATAAATAATAACTGTTTCAACCAATTGCCAATCAGAATATGTTCAAATTTGCCTATGACTTGGAAGCCAGCACCTCAAGTTGTTCTGCCGTTGTAAATCTTGCATGTACTGATTGCTGTATTATGTGTCCTTAAAATGTATAAAAGCAAGCTGTACCCTGATGACCTTGGGCATATGTCGTCAGCAGCTTCTGAGGCTGTGTCACAGTGCATCCTCAAACTTGGAAAAATAAACTTACTAAATTGATTGAGACTTGTCAGATACATTTTGATTTGCAAGAGATAAAGTTTAATTCACTCAGAGCTGGCTGCACAGGAGACACAAGTTTTATTATTATTCAAATCAGTCTCCTTGAGAATTTGGGGCCTGGAGTTTTTAAGGATAATTTGGTGGGCAGGGGGCCAGTGAGTTGGGAGCACTGATTAGTTGGTTTTGAAATGACCCTCATAGGATGTCGAAGCTGTTCTCTTGTGCTGAGTCACTTCCTGGGTGGGGGCCACAACAGGCCACATGGAGCCATCTGGTTGTCAGAAATGCAAAAACATGAAAAGACATCTCAAAAGGCTAATCTTAGGTTTTACGATAGTATTATCTATACAATAATAGATGTTATCTTCAAGAGTAATTGGGGAAGTTAAAAATCTTATGACCTCAAGAATAATTTAGATAATTATCTAAAATTCCAGGCCCTCTCATCCTAACTTGGTGGTCTTTCATTAGTTTTACAAGAAGAGTTTAGGTTTGGGGAAGGGCTATTATTTAAACTATAAACTATTTTTTTTTTCCCACAAAGCTAGCTTAGCTCATGCTTAGGAATGAGCAAAGACAGCCAGCCTATGAATCTAGAGACAAGATGGAGTCAGCCATGTTAGATGTCTCTGTCAAAATTCCCTCAGTTATAATTTTTGCAAAGGAGATTTCACGTTCAGTCAGTTGGGAGTTTAGAATTATATTTCTGGTTTACAAGAACATATGTTTTTCCATGTTTTCCTGTCCTTTCAATTAATTTCTTCTTCAGCACTCTGAGTTCAGAATGTGCCTCTTTTGTGCCACCCTTTTGGGGCTTGAGGAAATGAAACCAAGAGTGAAGCTGAAGAAAACCAATCAATATCCTAGAATCATTAAGCTGCCAGGCATAATGGACACAAAAACCATTTACTACCTTGGGCAGGTTCTGTGCTAAGCAATTAGCTCTCATAATTTCCCTTTCTGCTCTTGGTAATCTCATGAGCCAGGCACTACACATACGTGTCAGAGAAGCTAAGGACACACAGCGAATAAGTTGTACAGCCAAGGCTGGAACACAGGTGCATCTGACTTCCGAATCCAAGTAAGCCTCTTTGTGCTTATTCACCAAAGCAAGCTACAATGGCATGGAGTTTATTTGGGGGTATTGACAAGTAAAGAGATACACATTTGTGAAAAGAAAATATCTTGGGCCCTCAAAATCATTAAATTAAAGGGAAAATTCAAACTGGAAATTGTTTAGGACAAACCTGACTCCCATTTTATTTAAAGTCATCCCTCTCTTCATTGAGATAAATTTATATCTGATTACCTTCTTTGGAAAGGCTAATTAGAAACTCAAAAGAGTACAGCCATTTGTCTCTCACCTATCTGGGACCTCCCCACTTCGAGTTACTTGCATTTGTCTGGCTTTTGCTTCCAGTTTTCCTGCCTTTTGAGGCCGAACAAATGTTCATTTTACATGTGTTGATTGATGTCTCATGTCTCCTTGTAATGTATAAAACCAAACTGTGCTCTGACCACCTTGGGCACATGTCATCAGGACCCCCTGAGACTGTGTCACAGGCAGGCATCCTCAACCTTGACAAAATAAACTGTGTAAAGTAACTGAGACCTGTCTCAAATTTTCGAGGTCCACACATTAAGAATATTTTGAGAATAGATGTTATTAGAAAAAAAAAATTTACTTTGACATGTAAGTTAAAATACTTTTCATATTTCTTTTTATTTTCTTCTTGTCCTTCCTTTGCAGAATTCTGTGTGGTATGCACAGAAGCACACATGCTTGTGTGTGTGTGTGTGTGCATCTGTGTAACTCTCCTGTGTATAAAATTTTTATTCTGTTGCTTTTATGCAGCTTATACACATTATCCAATAATTACTTTTTGTAGTCTGTATTTCACATTATACATGAGCATTTTCCAAGCTACCATTAAGTATTAACATTGAAAGGCAACTTGAGAGGCCAGCTAGTTAATCCATTAGGGTTCAGAAATGTGTCCCTTAAAAAATGAAAAATTAGGTTGATTTTTAAACTTAGAAAAGAGATTACTAACAATCTTTCTTATAATACTGAAGTATGCTATTAATTAATAAAATGTTCCATACGGTGACAACATGTAATAAATATTGATATAAGGAATACTTATCTATTTCATTCATATCAGAATGATCAGGGTGGGCAATATAATAGGAAACAATGAAACAAAAAATATGAAATTAGCTTTGACAAAATCAACTTTTTGAAGAAAATTTTGAAGTTTACAAAGACCAATTCAAGGAATATGTAACAAATAAATGTTCATTTGTATATGAATGTGAATGAGAGTTCCAAATTCTGTCATTATGGCAATGTACTTAAAAAAATAGAACTTATATATGAAGTTCGATGTAACTGAACTCAGATCAAAATCTAAATGATAGGTTTGTGGATGTTTATTTTGAATTTTATGAAAGGATTTAAAATTTCAAATAAAGTACTATGTATGTAAAAACTGAACACAATTTTTAGAAATAAAAAGAATAACAATTGAACCCACCAATAGACAGTGTGAAGACCTATGGAGTTACAGTAACGTAAGCAATATAATGTTGATTTCCACAAAACAGAGATAAATCAATGGACTATGTAAAAAAAAGCCTATAAACACTACAAACTGTTCATTATAAAGGAATAATTAAGATTTTATATCATAGCTATTGGAATAGATTGTCCTGAAACAGTAAGTCTTCTTTAAAAAACAAAAGTGAAATCACTATATAATATTACATAGCAGCATAAACTGCAAACATTATTGGAAAATAATTACAACTTGGTTTTCTCCTTTCCTATATTTTTCATTCTTCATATCCACTGTTTCTTATCATTTAAGTTGGGCAGAACTCCTTAAAATTTTACAAATAGGCCAGGCGCAGTTGCTCATGCCTGTAATCCCTGCACTTTGGGAGGCAGAGGAGGGTGGAACACCTGAGGTCAGGACCTCAAGACCAGTCTGGCCAACATGGTGAAATCCAGTCTCTACTAAAAATACAAATATTAGCCAGATGTGGTGGCATGCACCTGCAATCCCAGCTTCTCGGGAGGCTGATGCAGGAGAATCACTTGAACCCGGGAGGCAGAGGTTGCAGTCAGCCATGATTGCACCACTGTACTCCAGCCTGCGCGACAGAGCAAGACTCTGCCTCAAAAAATAAAAAATAAAAATAAACAAATTATAAATAATAGCGAAGTATGTCCTGGTCATACATTCCCAATAGTAAAGGTAAGCAGAAGACTATTGCACGGGGTCTCATGGAGGCTCATTAATGAAGGGCTCCGGTCTCTAGGGGGAAATTTGGATCCCTAGAAGAAGCAAGATTCCTTGACCAATCTGAGATCTGGAATGGGTGGTATACCAGAGAAATTACTAACATCAACTCAGAATTACTGATTTTTAAGTGAATAGCTTGAGTTTATAAGCCTTTGCTAGTAATTTTTATGTTGCTGATGCCTTTAAAATATATGTGTGTGTTGGGGGGAGGGAGAATTTTCCCAAGGTGAGTATCTTAGGATTTACTCATTTTAGTGCTGTGCCTTCATCATAGAATAGGTTATTTCCTGTTTCTTGCCTTATCATTGAAGCTGATTCCCTATAGCTTACAAGAAATGTTGTATATTCTTTAAGTGACCAGAGTTGCTATTATGGCTTGAAACCAAAAGAATCAATTGATAATGACTTTTTCCTTTTTCCTTTTTATTTCATAATTTGTTATACTTTTTCCCTTTTATGACCACAATGAAAAGTTTCACCACTATCTAGATTAGTTCTATATTTATTATTACTGTTCATAATTCAGTTATCTCCTTTAAAGTTGTGGAGTCTCATTTCAGCACAGGAACTTTTTTAAAGTATTAATCCTCTGTTTGTTAATAACTTTTGGGAATACATCACTTCATATCGGGATGGCTAAATTTCATTGATTCCATCTCTTTTGCTAACTGAAAAGTCTCTAAGATCTACCAAGTCTTTACAATTGTCATGTCCACTCCAATTCCCAACCGAATTTCCTCATGGTATAGGGATTGCATATAATTTTGACAGATACACCACTGCATTAAAGACGATAAAACAAAATACTTTATATCTTATGGTTATAGTATACAAAATTTTTCTTGGTATAAAATAAACAAGGATTTAAAAAAATTCCAATTCAAAACTATTATTTCTGATCCAAATGTAGGGAGACAGAGCTGTCAAGTTGTAAATAATGTTCTGTCTCTGACAGTTGGAAGAATAATTTCCTGGCTGCGTCATTGAAGGTATTGGGGTGAGGAATTAAAAGGATAAACATTTTCCTGATTTATATAAAATTATACTGGCTTTTGTTTTTCATAGATACTTCAAGCTATTCTTCTAGACATAATATAATGGGAGAAATTAGATCCAAGATTTACTTTTATTATGTGATAGAAACTGTACTGAAGCATTACGTTCCTTGGAAGCCATGATGCTACTTACTAGGAAACATAATGAGATCCTTGTCTGTATACCTGGCATAATGCTGCTGGATTTATCTTCACATAGGTATTGGAGAGGTAGAAAATGAGGACAAGGAGGTCAAATCACATTTGATTTTAAGGTAAATTATCTGAAATATTAATTACACTTCTAAAAAGTACGGGAGGTATATTAGAAATATACTTTTAAACTGTGACTAGAAAATGGATAGATAATTATCATGATGTGGGATTTATATAACACCTTCTGTGGCATATTATAAAATTTCAGTCCTCTAAGCAAATTTTCTCCTGTTTTTGAAACCTCTTATTATGTGATTATTATTACTAGATTTTAATTTACCTGATGGACAAATACATTTAATAATACATGTGCTACTGGATATCAAATGAAAGCAAACAAGCATACTAAAAAAGAAAAGGAAACAATAAAACAAACAAACAAAGGATGGAAGGAAGGAAGGGATCACAAAAGTGTCCTAGAAATAAGACCGAACAAATTTACATTTAAATAAATCCAGGTGAGTTTAACTCATTCACTAAAATAGTTCCAACTTGACCAGAAAAGCATATCTGTCTTTATGTTGTATGCAAGAAACACATCTAAAACATAATGATTCCTGCAGGCTAAACATTGAAAAAAGAGCCAAAATATTATAGGGAGACTAAAATAAAAATTAAGGTACCTGATTTTGATACCAGAGAAAGTAGTAATTAGCCCCCAAAATAGTTGTTAAAAAAGTTAAAGAGGGAAAATTTGTGAGCTGTAACTATAATTCACAATGAAGATGTAACATTTATTTATACCTATAAAACATATAATAAAGCAACAACTGTCATTAAGCAGAAATTTAAAAGAAAAACAGAGACTTTCATAGAAAATGACACATGCAAAGTAGATTTTAACACAGCTCTCAAAACTAGATGAATCAAGTGGATGCAAATAAATAAGATTTATATACTGTGACCACTATTAATATATAGGTAGATTAGATATATAAATTGATAGATAAGTAGATAAAAAAGCAAAAAAAAAAAACAGTGAAAGAAGGAGAGGGTGAGAGAAAAAGAGAGATCTTCTGAAAATCAAATGATGTATGTTTTATCTTAAAGTGAAGATAGAACATTTGTAAAAAGTAGTTTATTGGACCATATAGATATCTGACACTATATTTCAAACAATAGAAATAATACAATACTGACCAAAAGTTCATGAGGCAAAACATTAATAAATTGTAATGGCTTTCAAGTTGGAAACTAAAGCAAACAAACAAAAAAAAATTAATATCATTTTGAATAATCAAGGTCAGATTCTGTAGACATCCTTCAAGTCTCTGTGGCTTTAAAATAAGTCTTTATTTTTTGCTGATGCCAAATGTTTGTAAATTTCCCTGTAAAGTGCCACTGATCTTGAGTTGCTCTAGGAAGTTAGGCACATTTGCCAGGCTACCATGCTAAACAGGGTACTGACTAGTGTGACTACCCTCGAGGTAGACAGGCCTGCTAGCAAGGAAAAGCCTGACGCTGAAAGCTGGCCTGTGACCCTATTAAGGCCCCACTGAAGGAGGTGTTAGGGGGAAATGGGAGAGGATCATGGATTGGTGGGAGGAAGCCTAGTAGCCTGTTTGGAGCAGTAGCACCTGACAAGGAACCTAGGACTCTAATCTATTACTAAGTGATAGACGGTCCTCCAGGGGACCCCTATTTCCCCGCCAATCATAGACATCCCTCTCCTTTTTGTTTGCAAATCCCGCACCATATGCAGGCTATTTCTAGGATTGCTTGTCAACACACTTTCTATTCCTGCGTTTGTCATCGTTTGCATATCTTTAGTCTTCTTAGGTGCTTAGCAGGAGTTTCCAAGAACATTCTTTTTAACAAAAGATGCCACTCTCTGCTTGTTTCATAACCCGTTGAAAAGAAAAAGTAGTTGCTTCCTGAAATATACCAGTATCTTCAGCGACCTTCTACCTCATGGGGGAAGTTCCTCTTCCTTCAGTTTAGAGATCAGAGAGGAAAACTGGCTTTCATAATTTTTCTTAATTCTCATCTTTATTCATTCTCTCTCTCTCTTTCCCTTTATTTTTTCAGCAAAATGTCCGAAGTTATCTACCGGCTTACTTTCACATTTCATCCTCTGGGAGGACTTACCCAAAGCCATTTCATTTTGCTTTTTACTTTTATTAAACACAAAAGTGCCTAATAGCAGCTAATAATTTAGTTCCAGTTATCATTTAAAGACTTATTTTGTGGCCTTAATAGTTATTATTTGTACAAAAGCTCCAGCTTTTCAAGAATCAATTATTTTCAAACCCCAAAGGGTAAATTTTACTTTTACTTTTGGAAACCTTTTGAGTAACCTTACAGCACTGAAATTTACATTTAGACACAAACTCTTAAATGAAAGCACCCAGCTTCTGTGGACTCAAACAAGACATCTAAATAATATATAAAACATCATAGGTTTATATAATGGTAAATGTGATGATAACTTTAAAAAAGTGTGTGCTATAATTACATATTTTATTGAGAAATAGAGCTCCTCCACTTAAATAAAGCAATGATATATCATACACAGAAAGTGTCTTGTCATTTCAGGTTTCCATTCTATTTTTTGTGACAGGTGAAAAGTAAGCAATAAACAAGAAAAGCTGATAAGGTCAAATACCTGTAATGTTGTTTCCAGTTTGAAACACTTCAATGTCATAAAGATGCTGACAAATGGAAAGACCTTTGAAGAAAATGCAGAAGGAGCTGAGAAGTTAAAATGAGAGATTAAAAGAATGAAATATGTACACTCTAGCTCCTCCATGACAAAGTAGGATGAGCTAAGTTATCTGTTTTGAAAAATATGGACGATATAATGCCAAAGAGCTTGCAGTGTCATTTTACACACACACACACACACACACACACACACACACACACACACACAGTGTTTCTGAAATAATGGCTATATTTCCTTTGGAAAAGTTTTAATATAAAAGACATTCAAGCCTCAAAAATATCAAAAATGCATTTTCATGTAATTATTCATATATTAAATTTTACCTTCTAAAATATTGAGATAAAATTCTAAGAGAAGAAATACCTCCACATTATTCATTGTCTATACGTCTACACTAAAATTGTTTTGCTTATGGTTCAGCTCAGTGTATTGAATAGAGTATAAGCCTGGGAAAAATATATCCTGTTCTATAATTTCATAGCTGTCCTGCACTAACAATAGTCCCTTAACCTCTTCCAGTCTTAGTTTCTTCATCTATGTATTATAATAAGAATATTGCATTGGATGTCTTTTTAAAACTTTCCTGGAGCAATATTCACAATTTTATCAAAATAAAATGTAAACTATTGATTGTTGGTGATATTTCTTTGAATAAACAAACGGAATAGGGAGTATAGAAAGTACTCAAATGTTTTTAAGAATTGTCTAATAAAATATAGTGATCTATAAAGCAGCAACAAGAGAGGCTGAAAAATATAGGAACTGCCTCTTTTTTCTAACTTCTTGATAAAAAGATTCAGTAAATAAATTAAGACTTCTATCTTAGGTAAGATAAAATTTAAGCTTGTCAATTCGTTTTCTAAAGGTGAGTACAGGAGGGTTTTTCACTGACTCTGAAGCTAGGAAAGCACAAATGGCTGTGGAAAGACGAAGATTTAGCAGAGGACATGAGAATTTGGGTAGGTGTGTTGAATCCCTTGGTAAGGTGGTGAGGAGGATTACACTGCCTATTGATTATTTGAATCACTTTTAGAAACTAATTTAAGAGAAACTTTTGGCCTGAAGAAGACTTCCCTTTAGATAAATTAAATCTTGTCCTTTCTTATCCACACTTCTTTTGAAGAGTAAATGAGAAGGAAAATAATTATACTTACAAAAATTACTAGAAGTTTCAAGGAGTTTATTTATGCATTTATTCAAATGACCAATGATCATGACTAAAAAACTTAACAGCCACATATAGCTTATATTTTGTTGGATGAAAGAACAAAAAGTAAAACAATAAATATTTAGTATGGTAAGGAGTGGTTATTTCTGTATCTTTGATATTATGAATAATGGTGCAATAAACATGGCAGTTCAGATATCTCTTCAAGACCCTGATTTCAATTCTTTTCGAATATACTGAGGAGCGGGATTGCTGGATTATATGAGAGTTCTATTTTTAATTTTTCTGGGAACTTCCACATTGTTTTCCATGACTGCAACAGTTCATGTTCCCATCAACAGTATGTAAGTGTTCCAGTTTCTCCATATCCTCACCAACACTTGCTATCTTATGTTTCTATTCACAATTCTTATAAAAAATAAATCATCTAACTCCTGGCACTTGGATATTTTCTGCTAGTGCCATCCACTTATTACAAAGTCAGGTTCAAAACCCTAGACTATCACGTGTAGCAGATTGCTGCTGTAAGCATAAGTTGTGGCCACAGATGTTATTTAGATGCATCCCAATACATCTCACCAACTATGTTTTCTGGCCACAGAAGATTTAGTTTTATAAGTAATTGAGGCAATTCTTGAAAAATAATACATTCTTAGTGAAAAATAATAATAAGATAGATAAATTGAAGTTAGGTCTAGCAGATGCTATTTTATTGCAGGAATCAGCAGAGATGTCCAATACAGGCTGAGGTATCTTAAGTAATTTGTAGTACCGAAAATAAGAAGGAAAAGTGCCCAGTTGAGGCAACATGACTCTGTCAAGGATAATAGGCTTTACATGACAAGAAAAAGAAAATGATAGTACTTCCATTGCGGTGTCTGAGTTCCTTTATGAGATATATTCATTTCCAAGATATACTTTAAGGATTCCAAAATTACATTTGGAACTTGTAAATGAAAATATTTCCCCATTTTCTAAATTAACCAGTGACACAGAAAAACTTTCAAATGAAGTAAATGAAAAATGTAAAAACAAATACAATCGCTAAAACAATAATGATATTTAAAATTTGTCAAAAATAAAGTCTAGAAACTTTGTTCAAAAAGTCAATAATAGTGGGGCACTGGCTGTAGACAACTTTAATATTCTTTTTTATTTGCTTACATGGTGTCTATTGTTGCTCCAGGCATCACATCATATCTTTACACAAGATTTTATGAAGAAAGGAAGTGAAAAACAACAGTCATGATCTGGCAGATGCTATGGTTTTGGAGATATTAGAGGGAGAAATATAAAGTCTGTAGCACTTCCTCATGAGAAAACTACAATACAAGACATCGGCTTTTAGAACAAAGCCATGACACCTGCAACCCAGCAGTATACGGGTTTTGAAAAACTGGGCTTGCCTTTTATATAAAGGATGGCAGGTGTGGCAGGATCAAAAAGAATTCATGAGCTAGAATTGTTACATCTGAGTGGAGGACAAATAGAATCAGAGAGTCAATTCAAGCTTCATTATTATATATTCCAGGGCCCACTGTCATCCATTGCTGTTTTAATAGTTCTCCTCTTTTATATCCCAATGGCAGTGGATAGATAACATAACTGCTACTTTCCCATTACTTCTTAGATGCCTGTTGTGCATTCATTCACATTATCTAAATTCACCTTATGTAAAATGTTTCTCAATTAAACTATCAACTTGTCCCAGGAACTGTCTGTACCCTGCCTACTACCAATGTGACCCAACGTCAATCAGATAATGAATGATCCAGCATGAAGCTTCAGGTTATTGCCTGAATCACTGTACCTCTCTTGACATGCAGTGATGCAGGATATGTTTCTGGAAGCAGGTGCTGAAACAGAGTTTGAGGGTTTTAAAAATTATTATTATTAGGGAATAACACCCATGAAAGGAAGGGAGAAGAAGCAAGTTGGACAGAGAAAAAAGCTAAAACCTAAAAGCCTTCCCAGCAAAGCCTGATGGGAAGCTCTGGAGTAAATACTGTATTGTATGTCTGATGTGTCTTGCTTGTGCCAAGAATTGATGGGCCTTTGCTTCCAAGGCTTATAAAATAACTAAATCCAAGATTCCTTGGGAGGGCAGCCTGAAGAAGTTGACACCTGTAAGTTTTCTGATGTCCACACTTCCTGCTGTTAGCCAGCAAGTCCTTCTCTAAATTTGGTAGAATTTATCATTATCTACCAAAAAATCCTGTTGTATAATGTACTAGGGAGTTGTCATAATTTGTTTAATAAAGTTGTTGCCTCGACATCTATTTTTAGACCTGATTTAAACTTCTCTCTCAGTACTAATTTTTCAGCTGCATCCCATATGTTTTGTAAGTTGTATTGTGATTTTTATTAATTTCAAAACAAATAATTTAATGTCTCGTATTGATTTTTAATATAATCAAATTGTGGTTGACAAATAACTGCACAATTTAATCCTTTTAAATATTTTATATTATTTATATGACTTCAATAAATTTAAATTGATTGAGGCCGGTTTTATGGCCTAACATATTCCATTCTGAAAAAAGTTCCGTATGATAATTGAAAAAGTTCCATATGATTCTTGAAAAAACTGTGAGTATTCTGTTCTTGTAGGGTGGAGTATTCTATAGATGCTAGTTAGCTCTGTAGTATTTTAGGTTTACTGTGTTCTTCAAGTCTCCTATTTCCATTTTGTTCTGTGCCTAATTGTTCTATACATTATTATGAGGGGATTACTGAGCCTCTAATTACTGTTTTTAATTTTTTCCCTACAATTCTGGCAGTTTTTGCTTCATGTATTTGGGGATGTTTTGTTGGGTGCAAGTACGTTTATAATTTCTATTTTTAAGGGATTGGCCCTTTGATTAATATAAAATGTCCTTTCTTGACTGTAGTTAACATTTTTTTCTCTTAAAGTCAATTTAAATTAATATCACTATAGCCATTTCAGCTTTTGCTTCGTACTTGTTAGTATTATATATATTTTTTCACACTTTACTTTCAACCTATTATGTCTGAATATAAATGCTTTTTTTCTGGAAAAAGCCTTATTATTTTAATTTATTAAATTATTATGTTAATTACTACTTTACATCACTTGATTGGAGAATTTAAATCATTTATATTTATTGTAATTATTGACAAGGTCAGTTAACATGTGCCATTTTATTTGTTTTCTATAAGTTTTATGACTGTTTTGTTCCTCTAGTCCTCCATTACTCTGTTTCTTGTCTTAAATATCTATATTCTAGTGTACCATTTTACACATCTTGTTTCTTATATACATATGTTTGACATATTTTCTTAATGATCAGTCTGGCTATTATAATTAACATCTTTTAAAAATTGGCCTGGATTAATAGCAACTTGCTTTCTGTAGTAATCTATACTAGTAGTCAACTTCTTGCTCCAGTATAGCTTGTTTACCATCCCCCACCCTTTTTGGTGCTATTATTGGCAGAGAAATTGCATCTTTATACACTATAAACCCATAAACAGAGTCATATAATTATTGGTTTATAGAGTTGTCTTTTGAAAGAGGGACAAAGAGTCACAAACATAAATAAGTTTATATTTTCTTTTACATTTCCCTGTGTAGTTGGCTTTCTCGGTTGCCTTTAATTCTTCATATGGATCCAAAATAGTATTCTGGCCTCTATCGCTTTTGATGAGAAGTTCACTGTTAATATATATAGAATTACTGATACATGAGGAAGCATTTATCTCTTGTTTCTTTCAAAGTCCTCCCTTTAATGTGGCTTTCTACAATTTGAGGATGCTGTGCATTGGTGTCAGTCTCTGAGTTTTTGCTATTTAGAGTTCATTAACTTCTTATATGTGTAAATTTTTTTTAATGTGGAAAGATTTCAGCCAATATTTTTTCAAATATTATTTTTGACTATTTCTCTCTGCTTCTCTGGGACTCCCAAAATATATATATATATATTTCACGTTATGGTGTCCTGTTTGGTCACTGAGACTCCGCTAATTTTTCTTTATATATATTTCTTTGTATTTCTCAGCCTTGAGAATTTCCATTGACTTATTTTCAAGTGAGTTAATTTTTTCTTCTGCTATCTCAGATATGCTTTTGAGCCTATGTAGTAAATTTTAATTTTCAACTATTGTATTTGAAAACTCCAGAATTTCAATTAGATTTTTTAAATGTTTTCTTTTTAATGAAATTCTTTATCTGGTAATATATTATTGTCATATTTTTCTTTAATTCATTAGACAAGGTTTATGTATTTTTTTTACTTTTAGTATGTTAATTATATTTAATTAAAAGTGCTTCTTCAGTAAGACCAGCATCTGCGCTTTCTCAGGTACAGTTGTTTGACTGCTTCCTTTCTCTCTGTTTATGCATCATGCTTTCATGTTTCTTTTCATTTTTCATAACATTTTCTTGAAATTGGACATTTCAAATAACAGAATGGGCAACTCTGGAAATAAAATGCCCTTTCTAAGGTTTATTGTATTTGCTGTTTGATTTTGTTGTGTTGTTGCTCTTGTTATTTCTGGTGCTGCTAATGTTGTTGTAGTTTTTTTCCTTAATGAATTTTTCTGAAATAAATATGTAAAGTCTGTATTATTTGTCATGTGTGGACACTGAAATTGTGCTGAGTTAGCTTATTGGTTAGCTGCTTCTTGCATAGAAATATCTTTAGATGGCTTGAACCAATTTGTCTCTCACCTTTTTATAAGTGGCTCCATATATATTTTGAGGCATGGCTTAATTATCTGGTAGTTTATAACTCTGTCTGGTGCTACACTCCCTGTTTACAAAGTTAATTAGCCAGAAGTAGAAGATTAGAACGACTCATTTATTTATTTGCCATATTCATATCTCTGCACCTATGTGTGACCTTCTAAATATGCAGGAATATATTGGAGCTTTTCAAAGCTCTCTATGGACATCTAATTCCCAGACCTTCCTTTTAACTTTTTGGCCAGTTTATTTTTTTGATCTAACGGTATCACAGCCTCAGGCAGCTGCAAGGTTAAATAATTCCCTCTGATTATTTTGCCAGATATTGAGGGGACTGGACTTTCCCCATTGAAAGAATTCTGAGTCATGTCAAATAAAAATAATCCCTGTAAATGGGGGTTTCCCAGAAAGTTTTGAGACTGGCCAAGTAGATGAAATTCTCTAGGTATGGGGCTTTTGGAAAACTCTGCACCCAGTCTGCCCCTTCAGTAGCTGGTTTTCACAGTATCATGGTTTGAATGTGTGTGCATTAATGCTATGTTGGAGTTGGGATGAGAGGCGAGAGGAATAGAGCAAGGTAAAATGTCACAAAGCTTGCTGTTCTTAAATAGATTAGCCATTTTTCCTGAGTGAATGCTTGTTGCATGTTGAAAGTTTTTAGCTAATTTCCCAAATTATGAAAATGTTGCTGTTTTTTTCAAATGTTGCCAGTGTTCTATATGGCTTTTATGAAAGAGCATATTTACAGAGGCCCTTACCCTGCCAGTCTGGAAATGTTTCCCTTGCCATGAATTTTAAGTAACATATTTCTTCTTTGTCCTGACTGTCAGCTAAATTTGATATCTGATATGACAATAGTTTTCTTACCTCCTATCTACTACTACTACTATTATATTACTCAAATACTGTGAATATTCCTCTTTGTGTGTTATTTGGCAAATGTCCCACCTGTTTTATTGATAAAGCCTAAAGTCTGTGAGCTACAGTCACTGAAGAATCTAATGCCCATGCAAACATATATGGGTCTGTGTGATTTTAGAATACTGCATAATAACCTCCTATTAGATTTTCTTATAATAATGTTTTTCATTATTATTATTTGTTATTATTTAATATCTTTGAAATGTAGTGGCTTTTAAAATGTCATTTTTGAATAGGTTTATAAAAAATATTTGGAAAATTACAAAATTGAATCGATCTGGAATTTTTTTTTTTTTTTTGAGATGGAGTCTCACTCTGTCGCCCAGGCTGGAGTGCAGTGGCGCAATCTCGGCTCACTGCAACGTCTGCCTTCCGGGTTCAAGCAATTCTCCTGTCTCAGCCTCCCGAGTAGCTGGGACTACAGCACACGCCACCATGCCCAGCTAATTTTTGTGTTTTTAGTGGAGACGGGGTTTTGCCATATTGGTCAGGCTAGTCTCGAACTGCTGATCTCAGGTGATCCCACGCGCTTCAGCCTCCCACAGTGCTGAGATTACAGGTGTGAGCCACCACACCCAGCCTCAGTCTGAATTTTAAATTTTTCAAACATTCTTCTCAACTCTGAGTATTTGAAAACTAGCATACTGCTCACACACTTTCTAACAATAAATTTTTCAGATAAAGGCTGATTACATTTGCTATGCTCTCTACCATGAGTTATGAAATTTTACTATGCACTAATTACTAATTATGAGATTCAAATTTTTTTATATTTTAAATTTGTTAAAGATACTATATACTTTTGAAGAAGCATATCAAAATATCTGTATATTTGAAAATTTTAACAAATTATTTCAGATATTATATATATATATATATATATATATATTTTTTTTTTTTTTTTTTTTTTTTTTTTGAGAAGGAGTCTCGCTCAGTCGCCCAGGCTGGAGTGCCGTGGGGCGATGATCTCGGCTCACTGCAAGCTACGCCTCCCGGGTTCACGCTATTCTCCTGCCTCAGCCTCCCGAGTAGCTGGGACTACAGGCGCCCGCCACTACGCCCGGCTAATTTTTTTTTTTTTTTTTGTATTTTTAGTAGAGACGGGGTTTCACCATGTTAGCCAGGATGGTCTCGATCTCCTGACCCCGTGATCCGCCCGCCTTGGCCTCCCAAAGTGCTGGGATTACAGGCGTGAGCCACCGAGCCCGGCCCAGATATTATAATCTCTTGATGTAATTGCAAAAGTTTAAGATTTTTAACACATAATTAGGATATTTTTCTTTAATTTGAATGGTTCAAATACTCATATGTTTTATGTCACTTTAGGATTCTTCTAACTGTGGTGTTTTAAGTTTCTGTTACATGTTTAATTTAATTATGTACCTTCAATATAAAAACAATATATAATTACAAGTTTATATTTTTTGACCATAGTATATCCTTTCACTGAAAGTATTACCTTACTATTACATGTCATGTCATATTGTCTCAAGACATTAGCTGCAGCCAAAGTATAATTTTAAAATGTAAAAACAGCCACATCATTTCCCTCTTAATTTTCACTATCAGTTTTTGAATTCGCACAACGTGGTTTACAAGGACTTTCACAACCCTGGTATTTCAGTCATTTTATAAAATATCATTACATTAAGAACTCCCAGCTCCTCTATTATTTTGCATTTTTCATGCCATATTTATGGTTTAATATCTGTGTTCTGTACTAGACCATAACAAGCACAATCGTTGAGGCTTCACCTGATTTAAACATTCCCAAATTTTTGGAACCCAAAATATTCCTGCCATGTGGTAGGTGCTTAGTCCTAGTAGTTGAAAAATGGCTAACTTGACATTACCTTATTTAAGTATTTTGTGATTTACATATTTTCTCCTTAGAATTGTTTTCAGTTTACTAGTTTATCTTTTACCCTCCATTGCATTCTTGTCATGTAAAATATTAGAAGAATTGTATGATGTAGAGAAATGCAGTAAGGCAAAATATCAACCCTAATTTTATATTATAAAATGACATCAAGCATTCTTAGAAGAAATCTTTCAGAGAGATAAGAAAAAAATGACGAGAAATATAACCAGTCTGAACTGCTCAGCATATTAAGGAAAATATTGTAGTATCATTTATTTCCCAATTAATTGCTTTGGCTTCTATCTACTCCATTAACAGGAAATATGACATCTCCCTCTTGGGCTAGAGTCTTCAAAGTATCTGAAGAATGCTAGGACGTCTTTGTTCAGAGAACTGTTGGAGTCTCTTTTTCAACTCCAATGAGGAGAAAAAAGAAATTTCATCAGGCTGATAATGCCATAACTTATGAAAAGTAATGATAGAATCATAATTTTTAATTTTTAAAATGTAAACTTTTAAAAAGCATATATAAAAGTAGATGATAACATAATGAGCATGAGTATCCTTAATTCTGCATTGATAATCACTAACAGCCATTTTTTTTCATCTCTTTCCCCCTTTTTAAAGGAGGTGGGAGTCTAGAGTATTTTAAAGGAAATCTAAGAAAACAAATCATTTCACTAAAAAAATGCCTTATTACACATCTTTAACAGATAATGACTTTTTAATGATATCACAATCCTGGTATCACACTTAAGAAAATTTAATTTAATATCACTATTGCCTGCTCAGTTTCAATATTTTGCTGATTGATTAAAAAAAGTTTCTTTGCAACTAGTTTGTTTTAATCAAGATGCAAATGAGATTTGCCTATTAACTTTATGGTTTATTTTGTTACATATAAAAATATTGGAAACTGATCACCTCATCACCTGAGGTCAGGAGTTCGAGACCAGTCTGACCAATATGGCGAAACTCCGTCTCTACTAAAAATACAAATGGTCTAGCAGAGTTATACAACTAACTGTCATTATGTGAGATGGCATCACAATCTATGAAATTCATGGATCATCTACTAACACATAGGGCAGTAAACATGGCCCTTTTGCTCTCTTGGACATAATTCCTAGGGCTCTCACAATTTTCCTTTTGAATTGGCCAGGCACAAATTGCCTGATTATATAATCTTGTCTCAATGCAATGTGCTATTCACTCTATATTTTTCTTTCTGCGTGCTTCAGGGTATTACATTACTCTAAGAAAGACTTTGCAAGTGATTCCAAAGTATCTTGTACTGTGGTAGATTTAGCAACATAAAAATATTTATTGGCTTAAAATAATAAGCATTTATTTAGCTCATAATTAAGAGGACTCACCTGGGCATCTTGTGTTGCAACATCTCTTCTTTTGGTTTTGTCTAGGGTCACTGGTATTACTCCATTCATCTGAGCACCTTTGCTTTTTGAGTTTGGCTGACCATTAGCCAGAATGATAAAAAATGAACCATGTGTTTCTCTTATTATATGTACAGTTTGGTCTTCTTCACGTAGTGGCAGTTGAAGGGGTTTCAACAGCAGCAAGAGAAGCAAAGTTGCATTGTACAAACATTATTTACTTTTCACCTTGCATCATGGTTGCTATTATCCTATTGACCAAAACCTGTCATATGGTCTAGCCCTGTAGCAATGTGGTAAGGAACAACATGAAAGTGGGGTAGGCTAAGGAAAATGGAGAACAGTTCTCCAATAGTTTACTACACATCTCTACCATTCCAGTGCCTTGTCATTTATGATATACTTTGACACCTTCTTCACTAGAGAAAAGAAAAGCAATTCCACAAATTTAATTTCCAGTTAAGCATTTCACTGTAAAGTGACCCAATTAACTATACATTTTCTTTGGAAAAAAATAATAATTTTATATTTATAACACTAATAATTTATCTGAGCCTTAATTAAGACTCACTGATAAACTCCTTTATGGCATAGCTTGATTTCCTTCAAATAAAATGAGATTATATCTGTCTAGTTCCCATCAGGATGACATTTTCAATTGCCATATCAACTCCACCAGATAACCACAAGACTCAAATCTGACAGAGCTGTCTCTCAACACACAATGGTGGAAACTGACAATGAAGCCGAGGGAGACTGATGCATTTTCAATAATGCAGGGATTATTATGTTTTTTTCTTTAAAGCTGCCTTTTCTCCCCACAGGGAGGAAGTTTAAAGCATTCATTGTGAGAGAAAAGCTATTTTGCTGTTTTTTTTTTAATGGGTATTTCTTCGAACTTGAAAAGTTTTATGTCACTTTCAAGCACATTGTTAAGAAAGGCAGAGCCAGATCAGATTCAAACTTTCCTCTCTCACAGACAAATCTTCTGCAGTTGAAAACGCCAGAGTGACAAAAGAAGCTGAAGTGCAAGAAATAAACTGTTCTAACTAAAAGGACCTAACGGCCCCCATCATCCTAATGCTACCTGTGTTATTTCATGGGTGTCACGCTTAGATTAGATAGAAACACTACGATTAAGTTGAAAACTAATGGCACCACAGGAAAAATGCCCACCAAATATTATTTTTCCAATAACCTTTGTTAATTGTTTGTGAGAATCTAATGTGAGCTGTCTAGTGCTGGTGTTTATGAAGGCTGCCACGCATGCTATAAGATGAGCTGAAAGACATTATAAAGTTGGTTAGCAAATTCATTATTTTATATAAATGATGTGACAGAAAAATCACTAATACAGTTGGCTATAGGTCTTATCCTTTCATTTTAGCATTAGTTATTAATACTAGTATCTATCTTTTTGTTTCCTGTAGGATTGTATCAGCTTTTATAGATTTATAGGTTTCAGAAAGCTAGATAGCAATCAGAAGAAAAAGAATTAGTTTCATTAACTCATCAGTTTTTTATCTGTTTCTGAAGAGATCAGCTACCCTCCTAAGACACTGTACAAATACAAAATAATTACTAGAAATTTAAAATATTTCTACTATTAGCTGGGCGCGGTGGCTCACGCCTGTAATCCCAGCACTTTGGGAGGCCGAGGCAGGTGGATCACGAGGTCAGGAGATCGAGACCACGGTGAAACCCCGTCTCTACTAAAAATACAAAAAAAAAAAAAAATTAGCCGAGCGCAGTGGCGGGCGCCTGTAGTCCCAGCTGCTCGGGAGGCTGAGGCAGGAGAATGGCGTGAACCCGGGAGATGGAGCTTGCAGTGAGCCGAGATCACGCCACTCCACTCCAGCCTGGGTGACAGAGCAAGATTCCGTCTCACAAAAAAAAAAAAAAAAAAAAAAAAAAAAAAAAAAAAAAATATATATATATATATATATATATATATATATATATATATATATATATATATTTCTAGTCTTATTTTTACTATTAGATTTTGTAAAATGTAGTATTAATCTCTCTTCGAAAAGTAAAGTTTAAACATATAGCTAAAGTGTTTGGAATTTGTTTGTTTTATCCCTCAATATTAGCAGCTTTAATTTAGTAGTTCCTTTTTTAAAAGGTAATTTTAGACTGACAAAATAGTTTCACAAGAATAGTATAATGAATTTCTATATGTCCTTCACAAAACTATCTATTTCCTATCATCTTACGGAATTGTAGAACATTTGTCAAAACTAGATTAACCATGGATCAATACTATTGATAAAAGTACAGAATTTTAGGAGGTTTCACCAGATTTTTTGTGACTGTCATTTCTTTGCTTTGGGATGCTACATTACATTTAGTGTTCACTTCTTCATAGAATTCTGTAACTGTGATAGTTATTTATCATTTCTCTGTTTTTTTAAAATTGCATTAACACTTTTGAAGAGAAGTAGTCAGTTATTTTACAGATTGTTGCTGTATTTGAATTTGCCTGGTATTTTCTTACGGTTATATTGAACTTACATTATTGAGAAGAATGCCCCAAAGGTGATACGCCCTTTTCAATCGCAGCATATCATGGGGTGCATAATATAAAAACTGGTGGTACTAACATTGATCACTCAGTAAAGTGATGTTTGCCAGAATTTGTCACTGTAGGCTCACTATTTTTCTCTTTGTATTTGCTAAATGTTTGGAAAATAAATCTAGAGTCTATGCATATGTTGGGATTTTGTTCAACTTTTTCCTGCTAATTTTAGCATCCATCAGTCTTTCCTGCAGGCAGCAATTATTACTGTAGTTTTCTAATGGTGATTTTCTATTTCCCTGGTTCCCCCTACAATTGTTAGTTAAAAATCTTCTTTTTTATTATTATACTTTAAGTTCTAGGGTACATGTGCACAACGTACAGGTTTGTTACATATGTATACATGTGCCATGTTGGTGTGCTGCACCCATTAACTCGTCATTTACATTAGGTATATCTCTTAATGCTCTCCCTCCCCCCTCCCCCCACCCCATGACAGGCCCTGGTCTGTGATGTTCCCCACCCTGTGTACAAGTGTTCTCATTGTTCAATTCCCACCTATGAGTGAGAACATGTGGTGTTTGGTTTTTTGTCCCTGCAGTAGTTTTCTGAGAATGATGGCTTCCAGCTTCATCCATGTCCCTACAAAGGACATGAAGTCATCCTTTTTTATGGCTGCATAGATTCCATGGTGTATATGTGCCACATTTTCTTAATCCAGTCTATCATTGATGGACATTTGAGTTGGTTTCAAGTCTTTGCTATTGTGAATAGTGCCACAATAAACATACGTGTGCATGTGTCTTTATAGCAGCATGATTTATAATCCTTTGGGTATATTCCCAGTAATGGGATGGCTGGGTCTAATGGTATTTCTAGTTCTAGATCCTTGAGGAAACACTACACTGACTTCCACAATGGTTGAACTAGTTTACAGTCCCACCAACAGTGTAAAAATGTTCCTATTTCTCCACATCCTCTCCAGCACCTGTTGTTTCCTGACTTTTTAATGATCGCCATTCTAACTGGTATGAGATGGTATCTCAGCGTGGCTTTGATTTGCATTTCTCTGATGGCCAGTGATGATGAGCATTTTTTTCATGTGTCCATTGGCTGCATAAATGTCTTCTTTTTAGAAGTGTCTGTTCATACCCTTCACCCACTTTTTGATGGGGTTGTTTGTTTTTTTCTTGTAAATTTATTTGAGTTCTTTGTAGATTCTGTATATTAGCCCTTTGTCAGATGAGTAGATTGCAAAAATTTTCTCCCATTGCAAAAATTTTCTCCCATTTTGTAGGTTGCCTGTTCACTCTGATGGTAGTTTCTTTTGCTGTGCAGAAGCTCTTTAATTTAATTAGATCCAATTTGTCAATTTTGGCTTTTGTTGCCATTACTTTTGGTATTTTAGACTTGAAGTCCTTGCCCATGCCTATGTCCTGAATGGTATTGCCTAGGTTTTCTTCTAGGGTTTTTATGGTCTTAGGTCTAACATTTAAGTCTTTAATCCATCTTGAATTAATTTTTTTATAAGGTGTAAGGAAGGGGTCCAGTTTCAGCTTTCTACATATGGCTAGCCAGTTTTCTCAGCACCATTCATTAAATAGGGAATCCTTTCCCCATTGCTTGTTTTTGTCAGGTTTGTCAAAGATCAGATGGTTGTAGATGTGTGGTATTATTTCTGAGGGCTCTGTTCTGTGTAAGAAAGAAATATTCCTTCACTTACTTAGTTGGTTATTCACATATATCACTATAAAATTGTGAATACTTATTTAATTTTGGGGCGTTATAACACAATACTACGCTTACTTATGGTGTGACCAAATTATTCCAACTTTGGCCATTGGAATTCCTTTCAGTTTGATGCCTGTGCCTTTTTTGTAATATGCTTCCACAGTTTATTATTTTATTTATCATTTATTTCTGGCAACATCAGATGCTTTGGACTCATCTTATAGTACACTGGAATCAACAGGTTCTCCAAGAATCCTTGTGTTCTTTCAGTGAAGAAGATTTTAGAAACCAGTGGCTAGGCATTAGGTGTGCTTATAGATACTGGGTTTCTCTCTATCCAGCTTCTCTCAGTGGATAGGTAGCACAATGACATCCGTTTCAGACTTCTAACATACAAAATGGTAAGATAGTAAGATAGTATTATCTTCTACTTCTAACATACAAACTTCTTCTGCTTCTAACATACAAAATGGTAAGATAATAAGATAATAAATTTATTCTTTCTTAAGACACTAATTTTGTGATAACTTGTTATAGGAGCAATAGAAAACAGGTATTATGCTACATGGTACTACATCTTTAGAGACAACTCCTCTCCCACTCTGAACTCTTGTAAACATTGATCTATTTTCCACAATAAAACTTTGCCTTTTACAGAGTGTTGTGTGAATAAAATGGATAATAAATAGCTTTTTGGCTTGCATTTTCACTTAGCAAAATGAATTTCAGCTTCATTCATGTTGTTGCGTGAATCAAGTTTATCCCTTTTTATTGTTTAGTAGTACCACACTGTATGGATACCACAATTTATTCATTCACCAATTGAAGTATATATTATTAATGATTTCTGGTAATCCTGAATAATGCTGCCAGAAACATTCACCTAGAGGTTTGTGTGTCACCGTAAGTTTTCATTTATCTTGAGTAGACACATGGGAGTGAGATTTCTGGGTCATACAGTAAGTGAATGTGTAATTTTTTAAAAATTTCTAGCTCTTCAAAATAATGTCCACCAGCAGTGTATGAGAGTTTCAATTACTTATCATCCTCATCAGTACTTCCTATTGCTAGATTTTTTTGGTATGCATTTAAGATAGGCAGTGGTAACACCTTAGCTCATTTGGTTTTATATTTGCATTTTTGAGCATATTTCAAATGTTTTCTTTCCATCTGAATTTCTGTTTTGGTAAGGTGTCTGTTCAGACTTTTTACCAATGTTTTTCATTTTTTTCACATTTTTCAATTTTCAGAGTTTTTTAAAATTTTGATTTATAAATATTTTTTCTTAGTCTGGGAGTTTTTTTAAATAATATCTTTACAGAGCAAACACAATTTTTTATTTTATTTTATTTTAGATTCAATGACTACATGTGCAGGTTGTTACATGGGTGTATTGAATGATGCAGATATGGTTTTTTAACTATGTCGTTTCCAAGTAGTAAAAATAGTACATGACAGGTAGTTTTCAAACTTTGTCTCTATCTTTCCTCTCTCCTTCTGGAATCCTTATTGCTTATTTTGCCCATCTTTGTGTCTGTGTGTACCAAAAAACATTTTTTGATTTTAATAATTCTAGATTTTACTTTTTTCTTTTATAAGTTGTGCTGTTTTGCTGTTTTTATTTTACACTTAAGACATCTATTTTTTATTTCTGTATAGGTGAGATGCAATTAAACGTTGGGTATACATGGACATATGGATGGAAACAATAGACACAGGGGACTAACAGAGAGGAGAGGGAACTGATAGGGCAAGTGTTGAAAACCTACCTATTGAATACTGTGCTCACTACCTGGCAGATGGGTTCAGGTACCTCTAGTTTCAGTATCATACAATATAGTCTTGTAACAAACCTGCACATGCACCCCCAAACCTAAAATTCAAATCAAAAGTAAAAAAAAAAAAATCCATCCCCTTGTTAACTCTCACAATAAACTTGTTAAATAGGGATAAAAAATTATTTTAAATTTGGGGTTAATTTGTCTGTCATCATGGATTTGAATGATTTTTTTTTTCTCTATTGAATTGTTTTAGTACCATTGCCAAATATCACTTGTCTATATTGGTTTGGTTTAGTTCTATGTTCCTTACACTCTTGCTTAAATCGAGAAGTCTTTAGTGCCAATGCCACACTATGGAGCTTCATTACTATAGCTCTATAATCCTAATGAGTAGTTTGTATATTTCAGCTTTTCTTGATCATGCGAGCTTTCTGTCTGCTGTAATGTGGGTCCTCTGAAGCAGCAGCGATATGGCTTGGCTGTGTCCCCACCCAAATTATGTCTTGAATTGCAGTTCCCATAATTCCTACTTGTCATGGGAAGGATCCAGTGGGAGGTAATCGAATCACAGGGGCAGTTACTCCCATGCTGCTATCCTCATGATAGTGAGTGAGTTCTCACAAGATCTGACAGTTTTATAATGGGCATTTCCTGCTTTGCTCAGCACTTCTCTTTCCTGCCATCATGTGAAGAAGGACATGTTTGCTTCTCCTTCTGCCATGATTGTAAGTTTCCTGAGGCCTCCCAAGTCATGTGGAACTGTGAGTCAATTAAACCACTTTCCTTTATAAATTACCCAGACACAGGCAGTTCTTTATAGCAGCCTGAGGATTGACTAATACAATAAATTGGTATCAGGTAGTGGGTTGCTGCTCTAAAAATAACCAAAAATTTGAAAGTGACTTTGGAACTGAGTAACAGGCAGAGGTTCGAACAGTTTGGGGGACTCAGAAGAAGACAGGAAAATATGGGAAAGTTTGGAACTTCCTAGAGACTTGTTGAATGGCTCTTATCAAAATGCTGATAGGAATATAGACAATGAAGTCTAGGTTGAGGTGGTCTCAGATGGAGATGAGGAACTTGTTGGGAATTGAAATAAAGGTACATTTGCTATGTTTTAGCAAAGAGACTGTCACCATTTTGCCCCTGCCTTAGAGATCTGTGGAACTTTATACTTGAGACAGATGATTTAGGGTATATGGTGGAAGAAATTTCTAAGCAGCAAAGCATTCAAGATGTGACCTGCGTGCTGTTAAAAGCATTCAGTTTTATGTATTCACAAAGACATGCTTTGGAATTAGAGCTTATGTTTAAAAAGGAAGCAGAGCAAAAAAATTCAAAAAATTTGTAGCCTGATGATGCACAGAAAAAAACTCATTTTCTGTGAAGAAATTCAAGCTGGATGCAGAAATTTGCCTAAGGAACAAGGAGCCAAATGTTAATCATCAAGGCAATGGGGAAAATTTCTCCAAGGCATTACAGAGGTTTTCATGGCAGCTGCTCTCATTATTGACCTGGAGGCCTAGGAGGAAAAAATGGTTTCCTGGGCCAGGCTCAGGGCCTTGCTGCTTTGTGCCACCTCAGGACTTGGTACCATGCATTCCAGCTGTGGCTAAAAGGGGACAACATACAGGTCAGGCCATGCCTTCAGAATGTGCAAGCCCTAAGCCTTGGCAGTTTCCATGTGGTATTGAGCCTATGGGTGCACAGAAGTCAAGAATTGAGGTTTGGCAACCTCTGCCTAGATTTTAAAAAACATATGAAAATGCCTAGATGTCCAGACAGAAGTTTGCTGTAGGGGCACAGCCCTCATGGGGAACCTCTGCTAGGGCAATGTAGAGTGGAAGGGAAATGTGGGATTGGATCCCAGAATCCCTACTGTGGCATTGCCTAGTGGAGCCATGAGAAAAGGTCCACCATCCTTCAGACCCCAGAATGGTAGATTTACCAACCATTTGCATCTTACACCTGGAAAAGCCACAGACATTCAATGTCAGCCCCTGAAGGCAGCCAAGATGGGGCTGTTCTCTGCAAAGTTACAGGGGTAAAGCTGTCCAAGGCTATGGGAGCCCACCTCTTGCATTGGTGTGACTTGGATCTGAGACATGGAGTCAAAGAAGATCATTTTGGAGCTTTAAGATTTGACTTCCCCACTAGATTTTGGACTTGCATAAGGCCAGTGGCCCCTTAGTTTTGGCCAATTTCTCCTATTTGGAATGGGTTTACTTACCAAATGTCTGTAACCCCATTGTGTCTAGGAAGTAGCAAACTTGCTTTTGATTTTAAAGGCTCATAGGCAGAAAAGACTTGCCTTGTCTCAGATAAGACTGTAGACTTTGACTTTTGGGTTAATGTTGGAATGAATTAAGACTTTCCCTGTTGGGAAAGCAGTATTGTGTTTTGAAAAGTGAGGACATGAGATTTGGGAGGGGTCAGGGCAGAATGACATGGTTTGGCTTTGTGTCCCTTCCCAAATCTCATCTTGAATTGTAGTTCCCATAATCCCCACATGCTGTGGGAAGGACCCAGTGGGAGGTAATTGAATCATGAGGGCGTTTACATGCATGCTACTGTTCTTGTGATAGTGAGTGAGTTCTCACATGATCTGCTGGTTTTATAAGGGACTTTTTCCTCTTTGCTTGGCACTTCTCCTTCCTGCTATCATGTGAAGAATGTGTTTGTTTCCCCTTCCACCATGATTTTAAGTTGCCTGAGGCCTCCCCAGCCATGAACTGTGAGTCAATTAAACCCCTTTCCTTCATAAATTACCTAGTCTCTGGCAGTTCTTTACAGCAGTGTGAGAACAAAATTATACAAACAACATGCCACAAAACTTTTTGTGTGTTTGTTTTTAGTAGCATTCAGGCATTTAGAATGTGCTAGATTCCCATCAACTTTGTGAGTTGGGCTAGACAGAAATTAGTCCCTTCGGCAGTTCCTCAAAAGCCAGAACATTGAACACGTGCTCCACTCTTTTCTTTCCTTTCTGCGAGCTTCTGTGGTGTGTAATCCTCCATTCTCTGTTCTATGTGTCTACTGGAGGATATGCACAACATCTAGCTCTTCATATTCTCAGTGGTCCCCAGGCACTCAGGGTGTGCAGGGTCTGATCAGTACTCTGCGTCAGATGAGACAAAGTCCAGTTCCTTGGATCCCTTCCACTTAAAATCAGAATGTTGAATGTATAGTCTAGTCTTTAGTTTCACTTCCCTAGGAGAAGCTAGGAGGTCCGAATTCTTTTGAACATGTGGTTCTGCATTAGAGGAAAGGACTATGGTGTGAGGATGGCAAAAGTTTCTCTACCACCTTTGATGAAGCTTGTTTCACACTAGCTGGGGTGCAGGAGCCTTTTAAATAGTTATTGGGGCTGGGCACAGTGGCTCACACCTGTAATCCCACCACTTTGGGAGGGCAAGGTGGGCAGATTGCCTGAAGTCAAGAGTTCAAGACCAGTCTGGCCAACGTTGTGAAACTCTGTCTCTACTAAAAATACAAAAATTAGCTGGGCGTGGTGGTGGACACCTGTATTCTCAGCTACTCAGGAGACTGAGGCAGGAGAATTGCTTGAACCCGGGAGGTGGAGGTTGCAGTGAGCCGAGATTGTACCACTGCCCTCCAACCTGGGTAACAGAATGAGGCTTCATCTCAAAAAAAAATGTTTTTGGTCTTCTCACAAATGGAATTGGTGTCTTCATGGGAAGGAATATTTAGAACTTCCCGTTTGGCCATCTTGCTGATGTCCCAAACATCAATTTTGTTTTCATATACTAACAATGAGGAATTGGAATTTTTTTTAATTATCACATAATATAGCACCAAAAATAAAATAGTTGGGTATGAATTCAACATTACAGCATATTTGTGTTGAAAACTAAGAAACACTCTTGACAGAAAGAAAAGAAAAAAAAAACTAAATAAATTGAGAGCTCTATTGTGTTCACAGACTGAAAAACTAATATTGATGTGATGAAAATTTTTCCAAATTGGATTTACAGATTCAATGCAATAGCTATGATTGTAATATAATCAGGCGGGCACTTTTATAGAGATTGATATATTGATTCTAAAATCTATATAAAAATTCAATGGGATTAGAACGACAAAACAATCTTGAAAATTAATGAGGGTGGGTTTGGTTCCTCATGACTGTAATCCCGGCACTTTGAGAGGCCAAGGCGGGTGGATGACTTGAAGACCAGCCTGGTCAACATAGTAAAACCCAGTCTTTACTAAAAATACAAAAATTAGTCAGGCGTGGTGGCATGCACCTGTAGTCCCAGCTACTTGGGAGGCTGAGGCACAAGAGTCGCTTGAACCCAGGAAGCAGAGGTTGCAGTGAACCGAGACTGCACTACTGCACTCCAGCCTGGGCAACAGAGTGAGACTCCATCTCAAAAAAAAAAAAAAAAAAAAAAAAAAAAAAGAAAAAAGAAAAGCTGAAGTACACAAGGGACTCAATAAGATTATAAAGCTACACTATAAATGGATTCATTCAATAAAGCTGCAGGATACAAAACCAGCATACAAAAGTCAGTTATGTTTCTATATATTAACAGAAAAGAACTTAAAAAAAAACTATTATGATAATCCCATTTACAACAGCATCAAAAAGAATAAAATATTTAGAAATAAACTTAATCAAGGAGGCAAAAGACATGGACAGTAAACATTATTATACTTTAATGAAAGAAATGGAAAAAGATACAAATAAATAAAAAGATATCTCGTGTTCATGGATTGGAAGATTTAATATTATTAAATGTCCATACTACCCAAAGTGATCTACACATTTAATACAATTCCCATCAAAATGCAAAGAGCATTTTTTACAGAAAGAGATAAGAATCTCAACATTTATATGAAGCTACAACGTATAGAATAGCCAAAATAATCTTGAAAAAGAACAAAGCCAGAGGATTTATGTTTCCTGGTTTGAGAACATATTACAAAGCTACAGTAATTAAACTAGTATGTTACTGGCATTAATGACAGACACATAGATTAACAGAACAGAATAGAGAGCCCAGAAGTAAATTCACACATATATATGGTCAACTGATTTTAGCAAAGGTGCCAAGAATACACAAAGAGGAAAGGAGAGTACCTTCAACAAATAGTATTGTGAAAACTGGATACCCACATAAAAAATAATAAAATTGAAACTTTTCTCTTATGCTCAAAAATCAGTTCAGACTAGATTGAAGACTTAAACAACAGACTTTAAATGGTAAAACTCCTGAAAGGAAACATACATGGAAAGGTTTGTGATATTAGTCTTGTCAGTGATTTACTAGATTTGACACTAAAAGCACAAGTCACAAAAGCTAAAATAGGTAAGTGAGATTGCATTATACTAAAAAGCTTCTGCACAGTAAACAATAAACAAACTGAAAAACTCATCTGTGTACTTGGAGAAAATAATTGCAAATTATGTATCTGTTAAGAGATTAATATCCAAAATGCATAAGGACTTACTACAACTCAGTAAAAAAAAAAACATAACCCCATCAAATAACTGAAAAATGAGCAAATGAATTGAATAGACATTTTTTTCAAAAAAGACATATATATGATCAAGAGATATATGAAGTAAGTTCAACATCACCAATTATCATAAAATTGTAAATCAAACCATAAGATATTACCTCACATCTATCACGGCAGTCCATATTTAAAACAAAACAAAAATAGCCAGTGTTATTAAGGTTGTGAAGATATTGGAAAACTTCTGCACTGTTAGTAAGAATGTAAAATGGTGTAGGCAATATGGAAAATATTATGGAGATTTGTAAAAAAATTAACAGTGTAACTCCAATATGATCAAGCAATTCCACGTCTGAGTAATCAACCAAAATAATTGAAAGCCGAATCTTGAAGAGACATTTGCACTCTCATATTCTTTGCAGCATTAGTCATAATATCAAAGAAGTAGAAACAATGTAAATGTCCACTGAGAGGGGAATGGATAAAAAAAATTATATGCAAACACTAGAATACTATTCAGTCATAAAAAGTACAAAAGCCTGTAATATGTTACCACATGAATGAATCTTTAAACATTATGTTTTGTGAAATAGCCCAGTCACATTAGGACAAACATTGCAAGCTTCTGGTTACATGAGGTATGCAAATACTGAAACTCATAAAAGCAGCAGGTAGAATGTTGGTTTCTAGGTGCTGGGGGAAAAGTAAGTGAGAAGTTGATTTTTAATAGTGATGGTGGTGGGAGGCAGACAGGTTCCTAGGCAGGAAGGGATGGGATCCTGGTGAGGCCCGACCTTCAATCCAGGGACTGCCTGAAGCCTGGGGTCTGGGTTGCCAGTTCTGCGGGGAGTCCATGACTCAGAATGGAAACTTCCTTTATATCTTTTGGACAGTCAGATGGTGCTTTTTCTGGGCCCACCCATGGACCAATCAGCATGCACTGCCTCCATTCTGAGCCCTTAAAAACCCCAGATTCAGACAAACCTAGACACATGTTAAGACTACTCCCCTGCGGGTAGAGCTACCCACTTCCAATCTCCTCTACCCTGAGAGTTGTTCTGCTGCTGAATGAAACTCTTCTCCAACTTGCTCAGCCTCCAGTTGTTTGGGTAACCTCATTCTTCCTAGATACCGGGCAAGAACTCGGGACCCACCAAACAGCAGGTGCAAAAAGGGCTGTAACAATTTACTGGCTGGCTTACTGATCTGTGGGCAGTGATACACTCTCATTCATTGGACTGCAGGAGTGAAGAGTGGCGACCCTTCTGGAGGCCCAGACCTTAGGATTCCCTGAGCCAAAGCTGTTTCACTATAGTCCTCCCACCCTCCTCCAGGGTTGGGTGGCCACCCCACATGATGGAAAGCAGTTGTCAGGCCAGACCAGGAGCCACAGGCCAAAGCAGGGCAGTGAGACTGAACAAGCTGTAACACAAACGGGCTGAAATACGCCTCTGCCCCAATTCATCACACTGTGGGTGGCAGGAACAAGAGAGTTGTAACACACCCCGCCCCCGACCCCTTGGGGCTCCACGGTTGCTGTTGTCTCTGAGTTTTCAGGCGCCACTGCATTCCTCTCCTCTAGACACTGGTTCTCGTGGCAGAAGCTGCTTGCAGTAGGCCTGGTGCAACTGCAGCTTTACAGGGAACCGGCACCTGTGCTGGTGCCTGGAGCTGCCCGCCCCACGGCAGCAGCCAGTGCACTGCTGTGTGCAGTGGCTGGACCCTTGACTCTCTCACTCACACTCCCCTCACCGCTCTGCACCAAGTTTTCAGGAGCCACTTGGCTCCCGGCTCACCCTTGGTGGTCATGGGATGGGGGCCAGTAGCCTGAGCCGAGCCCAGCCTGCCAGGCTGAGTGGGTGGAATGAGCCCAGTGGGCATCAGCAAAACTCAAGCAGGGGCGCCACCAGCCACAGAGGTTTCTGGCTGGCAAGGTGACACTCTAAAGATTCTTTGACAATAGTTATAAAGTTTTAGTAATGAAAGATTAGAAAGTTCTGGAGATTTACTATACAACATTGCACTTACAGTTAGCAATATTGTACTGTACTAGACAATTAAATATTTACTAAGAGGGTAGAGCTAATGTTATGTGATTTTTACGACTATAAAAAAAGCACAATTGATATTTGCATGTTGATTTTGTCTCCAATGACATTTCTAAACTCTTTTATTCGTTCTTATAGCATTTCAGTGGAACTTCTTTTTAGTACTTTTATATATACAAGTGTGTCATCCAAAAATAGAGACAATTGTATGTAGTTGTATCTAGTCTGCATTCCATCTATTTCCTATGCACTGGCTAGGAGTTCAAGTATCATGGAGTGGTAAGAGGGGACGTTTTTGCTTTTATTCCAATCATAGGGCAACACATTCAGTCTTTGACCATTAAATATAATGTTAGCCCTATGGTTTCTTGTAGAGGCCATTTATCAGGTAAAGAAAGTTCCTTTCTCTTTCTAGTTTACTGAGTATTTTTATAATAAAAGAGCATTAAATATTCTTAAATAAGTTTTCTCCATTATCGCGATAGTCAACAGTATTTTTCGTATTTAGCCAATTATGGTGAAATACATTAATCTACTTCCAAATGTTGACAATCTGGCATTCCTGAGGTCAAATTCCACTTGGTCTTGATTGATTATGCTTTATATACATTGTTATGTTCAATTTGTTAATATCTTGTTGAGAATTTTTTAATCTAAGTTCACCAGTAATATTTATGGTTTTCTTTGCTTGTAATGCCTTCGTCTGTTTTTGATATTACAGTAAATACTTTGAGAAGTATTTTCATCTTTGTTTTTTGAAATAAACTGTGTGAAATAGGTATTATTTTCTCATATTCACTAGTAAAATCATCTGAGTCCTGAACTGAATTTTAAACAAAAATTTTAAACTAAAAATTTAATTTATTTAATAAGTATAGTGCTATTCAAGTTTTCAGTTTTGTGAGATTATGTCTTACAAGAAATTTGTCAATTTAATCTAAGTTTTTGGATTCATGGGCATAAAGTTGTTTTATTATTTCCTTATCATTCTTTTAATATCTGTAATACTAGAGTGCTATTACTTCTTTTGTTCTTGATATTGGCAAAGAGTACCAAAGAGTACTTCCTGTCACTTGTTTTCTTTTTTTTTTTTTTCCCCCCATCAGACTGGCTGGAGATTTATCAGTTTTATTGATTCTTCAAATAACAGAACCAACTTTAGATTTTCTTTATTTTTCTCTACATCTTTAAATTTTCTTTTTCATTGATTTTTACTTTGATCTTTATTATTTCTTCCGCTTTCTTTGGGTTTATTTTTAATTTTATTTTTCTATTTTATTAACTTAGAAACCCTGATTATTAACTTTAGATTTGTAATATAGACTGCACATTTCCTTGTGAATACTATTTTAACTGCATCATACAATTTTTGAAATACTGTCTTATGAGCTCAAAATGTTTTAATTTTCTTGAGAATTCATTTTCTTTCTTTTTTTTTTTTTTCTTTTTTTGAGACAGAGTCTCTCTCTGTCTCCCAGGCTGGAGTGCAGTGGCACCATCTCAGCGTACTGTAACCTCCACCTCCTGGGTTCAAGGGATTCTTGTGCCTCAGCCTCCTGAGTGGGTGGGTTTACACGCACCTGCCACCATGCCTGGCTAATTTTTTTGTACTTTTAGAAGAGATGGAGTTTTGCCATGTTGCCCAGGCTAGTCTCAAACTCCTGAGCTCCGGTGATCTGCCCACCTTGGCCTCCAAAAGTGCTAGGATTACAGGCATAAGCCATCACACCCAGTCATTTCTTACATTATTTGTGTGGGTAAACTAATTTTCAAAGTTTTGAGAACTTCTCCATATATATTTTTTAAATTTCTACTTTAATTATATTATGGCCGCATAATACAGTTTATATGATTTCTAGTGTTTAAAATTAGTTCAGATTTTTTTTCTTTGTCTTTGAATATGGTCTACGTTTTTGAATGTTTTATGTGTGCTTGAAAAGGAAATGTATTCTAATTGGGGGAAAGTGTTCTCATTTTTGTATAAAAGCCCCCAGTGCCACTAATATCTAGAGTCATCCTATTTAGGTGCTTTGAATAATCTGAGATTTCTTTATCAATTTTCTATAATGATATATATTCAAGAACATTTTAATAATGTTCCTTGATTAAATTTGATTAGCCGGTAAGGACAGAAATATTATCTGCATTAGTGTACTTCTAGAAAGTTGATGTAAGAATTATTTCTTTGGATAGGCAACAAGAGGAATCCTGAATTCTTAAAGAAAAATCTTCCCAAATTCAATCACTGTATTTACAAAATGAAATCTGCTTTTTTGTATCTATATCAACCAGAGGCATCTCATACAAGCATTCTTTACATAGCTAAAGTGAAACAAAATAAATATAGTATATATTTTATGTTTTACCTCCATTTTTGAAAAAATCGATTTTTAATTGCTTTATCATCTTAATATAAAAAGTTTATTATTTGTTTGGTTATTTTTGTATTTATTATGCTTTATGAGCTTCTTGATCCAATCTCCCTTGATTTTGCACCTGAGGCAAGTGCCTCACTCAAGTCCTGGCCTTGGGTAGTGCAAGAGAGCTGAGGGAGCGGAAGTCTTTTTATTATGATTACTTTATTATTATTATTTATAGAGTCATAGTCTTGCTGTGTTTCTCAGGCTGCTCTTGCACTCCTAGGCTCAATTGATTACGCTGCCTCAGCCTCCTGAAGTGCTGGGATTATAGACATGAGCCACTGTACCTGGCCTTGTTTGATTTTTTAAATCATGCTTTATGAGGTATTTTTAAAGCAATTCTAGTTTTTTCCTGAAAGATTTGTAATTATTGATTTCCTTATACATAGCAAGTACGAATAATGTAAAAGTAATCTAGCATTAGCACAAAGCATTTTTCTAAATTATCCCTGCTAGCTAGTATTACTATTTGAAGGCTTCCAAAGGTAAAGTGGTACAGTCTTGTTTTGCATTGTTCGCTGGAATAATGGAAGGAGAAAACTGCATTTAGAATTTTCATCCATGGCTTCTATCTTTTGCTAATGTATAAGGATTGCTTAGTTAAGAAACATTAATAACTTGTTTTTATCAAGAGCATGCTTCAAGTTTTAAACATATTGAGATAATACCAACCCATTTGCTTACCACTTTCATACTCACAGGATCAGGTTCAAGTGTTTCTTTATTCCTTTATTTCCTTTGATCTTCAGGAAAGTCTACCTTTATTATAATTTACTTTTGATAAGGTTTTATCGTCAATGCCTAAATTTCAAAGCCCAATTCTGAATCACCTTTTACTAGAACAGAGTAAGATATTGAGAATTAGATATTCTACACAATGAATTAAATGTATTAGCGTATTCGGATTTGACATTTAACGTTGCGGAATATGACATTGCTTTTTCCTTAAATTCCAAAGAAATCTTGAGTATCTACCACAGAAAGTTATTGGAAAAAGCTGGTTTAATTTGATTTAAATGTTCCTTGACCTCCATGTACTCTAGTGTTTTTGTTTGTTTGTTTGCTTAATTCTAGAATATGTTCTTTTTGTTGCTCATGATGTGTGCTGGTCTGCGTGTGCCTCTTTTCCAATATCTCTGGATAAAAAGAAACACTTCTGTAAACTGAAAGTTCTGGTTGTAAATCCTATTGTGTGAAAAGTAAACAGTATCTATTCAAATAAAAAGAATTTATATCCTAATAACTTAAGTGCATTTAGTTTTCAATACACTCCTCATCTCAACCTGCCCTTAATTGGATATGGATATGATTATATTAGTAGCTGTTCCTAGAGATAAACTGGAGATGTCAATGTTGATGTGGTCAAAATTAATCATCTTGCTAAGAACAAAAATGTTTCTATTAACTGTGTCAAGTTTGCCTTACACTTTTTCTTTTAGGAAAAAGAAATCAGTCCCTTTTAAAAGGGATACTAAATTGGCTTATTCCTATTTTAACCATATAGGTCCAAACATAAGTTTTGGCTTAAGATAGTTTATTACCCCCACCACCTGCATATCTACAGTAGTTCCCGCATATCAGCTGTTTGGTTTTTCATGGTTTCAGTTATCCAAGACAACCATGATGCAAAAACATTAAATGAAAAATTTCAGAAATATTCATACATTTTAAATTGTGCACCATTCTGTGTAGCATGATGAAATCTCATGCCATTCAACTCAGTCCTGCCTGGGACATAAATCAAACTTTTGTTTAGCAGATCCATGCTGTAGACACTGCCCATCACTTTAGTCACTTAGTAGCCATCTTGGTTCTCAGGTTAACTTTTCTGGTACTGCAGTCCTTGTGTTTAGATAATCTTTATTTAACTTAATAATGGCCCCAAAGCACAAGAGTAATTTTGATATCCCAAGCAGAAGCCATACGTGCATTCTTTAAGTGGAAAAAATGAAAGTTATTGACTTAATGAGAAAAGAGAAAAACATCATATTCAAAGGTTGCTAACATCTATGGAAAAGACAATCTTTTATCCATGAAATTGTAAAGATGGAAAAAGAAATTTGTGTCAGTTTTGCTCTTGCAACTTAACCTGGTAAAGTTGTGGCCACAGTACATAATATGTGTTTAGTTAGTATGAAAAAGACATTACATTTGTGAGTAGAAGACATGATCAGAAATATTTTCTGATTGACAGCAATTGGGATGGTTACTCTCCGTGGTTTCAGGCATCCACTGGGGAACTTGGAATGAATTCCCTGCCAATAATTACTGTCTCATAGGAATAACTAATTTTGATTTATAAAAAAACACATTGAGCAACTCTCAATTGGAATTAAACAGTTTAGTGGGTGATACAAAATTCTAAAATATAAATCAATTTCATATTTTATGAATTTTTGAGAAGGGATCATAATGATATGTGCATATATCAGATTACTCCAAGTTTATGGTTTAAAAAATCATTGCCTAAAGTGCTGTAAAATGATATTTTTAAATGCTTATCACATTCAGTAGGAATAAAATATTGATATCCTATTATGAGGAAAATCATGTTTTAACATGAGGTATGAATGGATTTAGCCCTAGTTATAGTTTTTTAATTATTAAAAGTTTTAATATATATGAAATACTTAGTGAATTACTTTTTAGTATTCCAAGTCATTAAAAATCTGTGGCTATATTATTAATTAATTTCAGTATCCAGGTCATTAAGTTGCTTCTCCAAGTTTTGCTAATGCTGAAGGCATGGATTTAAATGAACCAATGTATAACACACACAAAAAATGATGTTCATTAGCCGCATTAAAGAATATCCTTTACATAAAATATCTTAAAACTAATTCAGAGCCCAGTATTCCTCTCTCACCAGAAGAGAGGAAAACTCTGGCCTTGAGATTTAAAATCAGGATGGCTTTATACCTGAACACTGCAGCATTTATGTAGAATGCAGTTCCAATGACGTATTTAGAAACACAAACATAATAACACTATTATACATGAAAAGTGATAAATATTTGTTACTTTATTAAATGCACAATAGTTAGTAATTTATATGGTTTGGCTGTATGTCCTCACCCAAATCTCACTGGAGTTGTAATTCTCATATGTCAGGAGAGGGACCTGGTGGGAGGTGACTGAATCATGGAAGACTTTCCTCTTTCTGTTCTGATGATAGTGAGTGAGTTCTCATGATATCTGATAGTTTAAAAGTGTGTGGCACTTCCCCCTTCTCTCTCTCTCTCTCCTGCACCCATGTGAAGAAGGTGCCTGCTTTCGCTTCCTCCATGATTGTAAGTTTCTTGAGCCCTTTCATTCATGCTTCCTGTTAAGCTTGCAGAACTCTGAGTCAATTAAGCCTCTCTTCTTCATAAATTACCCAGTGTCAGGTAGTTCTTTATATCAATATGAGAATGAACTAATGTATTAATTATAAGGCATTAGGAAACTCACTGAAATATACAGTAATAAACCTGTTATAAAAACTTTGCCTTTATTAAGAAGCCATTGTAATTTTTGAAATTTCATGTTTTCAATAATTTTAGTAAAGATAATTGTTTCTTTTCTCTCCTCTTAGAAAACATATGAGTATATTATGGAGGATGCATAACATAAAACTGATATTTATATTTAATTTAATGGGAAATACTTGAGGCTGAACGACTATATAAGGGAAGATGGTGTCAATTGGGAAAGAGGTAGGGAGTTGTACGATGTATCAGATTTCTCTTACAAATGACCAGAAGGGCTGCAGAGCATAGATAAATGATACGAAAAGCAGCACTCCAGAGTATATGACACACTATGAAAGAGAAAACAGCAATTCTTTTTTTAGAATGTGAAAAAGGAGCAGAGATGCTAGCTGAAGAAGCTACTCTGCTCTTGTTTTCACATATTCTCTAGAATTGTGGAAGGAGGTTTATGCATATTTCTTGGCCAGCAATCAATTGAGAAAGGTGCTGGTTTGTTTATCCAAGGATATATAACCATATTATGGTTTAAATTCCTACATCACATAATAAATAAAATCTATTCCTGATGTAATATATAAAATAATCTTAGAAATCAATGAGAAAATAATCTAAGTTTTTGTTAAATATGAGTAAAAATGGGGGCTTTAATAAAAAGAATTTTGAGTGACTGAAAAGTTTATAAAGGGGATCAACATCATTACCTAGTAGGGTAATGAGATTCCACTATTTTATTCATTACTAATGCAAAATGTAAAATTGTAAAATATCAAGTGATGACAAGGAGCAACTGAAACCCTCATACAGTACTGGAAAGAGTGAATATTATTAGAACCAATTTGGGAAAATATGTGGCATTATCTATTAAAGATAAAATATACAAAAATCTATGGCCTAATAACCCCGTAGGTAAATAAACAGTAGAAATATATTCAGCAGGCCTCAAAACCAGGTGAAATATGTCAGCTAAAGCATTATCCATTAAAGGCAGAAACTGAAATAACTCAAATGTTCATCTGCAGTAGAATGGACAAATGAAAGACACAAATGAATAATCTGTTGCCATTCTTAACATCATAGAATAGATTAATGTCGGAATAATAATGTTAAGAACAAGAATCCAAACATAAAAAGTTCATACTATGTGATTGTATTAGTCCATCTTCATACTTCTATGAAGGAATACTCAAGACTGGGTAATTTATAAAGAAAATGAAGTTTAATGGACTCACAGTTTCACATGGCTGGGCAGGCCTCACAATCATGTCAGGAGGTGAAAGAGGAGCAAAGGGATGTCTTATATGGTGGCAGGCAAGGGAGACTGTGCAAGGGAACTTCCCTTTATAAAACCATCAGATCTCCTGAGACTTATTCACTATCACAAGAACCACACGGGAAAAACCTGCCCCATGACTCAATTACCTCCCACGGGGTCCCTTCTATGACATGTGGGGATCATGGGAGCTACAATTCAAGATGAGATTTGATTGGGGACACAGCCTAATCATGTCAGTGATTATGGTGTTCATAATAGGAAAATTGTATGTATTTTATTAAAAGTTAGCATAGCATTATATTCTTTCAGAAGTACCTTCTGAAAGACAAGGACTTTTCTACTTCTTGACTTTTAGAAAAGTCTTGAACTAAAAAAAATGTCCTTAGTTGAACTTAATACTTTTCTAAAGACACGCGATAACTATGTTAAAAAGGAAACTATAGTGTGCGTTAGATGTTAGGAAATGCCACAGAGAAAAATGAAACATGAAGGAGAAATAGGAGTTGTTAGGAAAGGGGGTTTGCAATTTCGAACAGGGAGATTAAGAAAGTATCACTTAGTAGGTGATATTTGTTTAAGAAAGAAGTTTATCTGCAGACTTCTGAGGGCAAAGAGAAAATTGCAGAGTCAAAAACCTTGAGGTAGAGAGCTTCTGGCCATGGTCAAGGACAGACAGGAGTAGGCAAGAGAGAGAGAACAGTAGTCCCTCCTTATCTGGGGTTTTGCTTTACATGGTTTTAGCTACCCACTATCAACAGTAGTCAGAAGATATTCAGATATTTTGAGAAAAAAAGATCACATTTACATAACTTTTATTACAGTATATTTTGTTTTATTTATAGTTGTTAATTTCTTACTGTACCTATCTTACTTTATCATACGTATGAATGTATAGAAAAAAATACATATATAGGGTTTAGTATTATCTGTCATCAGCAATCCACCAGAAACCTTGGAATTCTCTGTGGATAACGGGGGATTACTGTAAAAGGCACTGAGGTCATTTTGGTAACAATGGGCTGTAGATGGAATTGTGTTCCCCTTAAACTTACATGTTGAAGCTCCAATCCTCAATATGACTAAATTTGGAGGTAGGAATTTTAGGAGGTAATTAAGGTTTAATGAAGTCATGAGGATGTGTCCCTAATCCAATGAGAAGAGGATGATCTCTCCGTTTCTCTCCTGAGAACACAGTGAGGCCATCTGCAAGCTAGAAAGAGTTCTCACAAGAAACTGAATCATCTTAGATGTCCCCATTTCCAGAAAAGTGAGAAAATAAATTTCTGTTGTCTACAACACCCAGTCCATGGTAATTTTGTTATGGCAGCTGATATGGTTTAGCTCTGTTCCCATGAAATCCCATCTTGTATTGTCATTCCCACAATTCCCACGTGTTGTGGGAGGAACCTTGTGGGATGTGATTGAATTATGGGGCAGGTCTTTCCTGAACTGTTTCTCGTGATAGTGAATGAGTTTCACAAGATCTGATGGTTTTAAAAAATGGGAGTTTCCCTGCACAAGCTCTCTTTTTGCCTGCTGCCATACATGTAAGATGTGATTTGCTCCTCCTTGCCTTCCACCATGATTGTGAGGCTTTCCTAGCCATGTGGAACTGTAGGTCCATCAAACCTATTTTTTCTTCCCAGTCTCGGGTATGTCTTTTTCCGCATGTGAAAACGAACTAACACAACAGCCCAAGCAGACTGGTACTTAAGGGGGCAATTATGTAGATCTTACAGTATATTCTAGAGACTGGATTTTACTCTGAATGACTTGGAAGAAATTGTATAGATATTGGACAGAAGCATAGTCTGATATAATTTGTAATTTAAAGACATCAGTCTGATTGCCATATTGGGGTAACTGGGTAAAAAAGGGAAAATAATAAAAGCAAATAGAACAACTAATAACTACAAATATAATGTTGGCATAAACAAAGGTGATAGCAGAGAAGACATGGCCACTGAGAGTCAAAAATTAAATAAAAATCCCTGAACTAATCAGTTGTACTCTCCAAATCTGGAATGCATTATATATATAATATATTATTTTTGATGGCAAGGATTGCTACAAAGAAACATGGTACAACCATGGGAAAGAAGAGAGTAGGGTAGTCATTTGGGGCATGAATCTTGGTCATTTGTGCACATACTTGAGTAAGTTATAAAAGCATACCATGAGGATATCTGTGGAAAGAATATCCAAGGTCCCAAATATGAGAACATGTTGAAATGTTCAAGAAACGATGAGGACAGCATGGCTGGAGCAAACAATAAATAGAGAACTAGGAATTTGAAGACGGATTTGTAGTCAAGAACAAAGTTTTGTGTCCTTCCTTTATTTTAAGAGGAAATAAAGTGCATCATTAGTATGTTGGTAGACTTTACTCTGAAGAGATAGAAAACTGATGATGCAAAAAGAGAGAACAGAATTTCTGCAGCCGGGGCTTGCTAAAGAGTATCAGCAGATAACTGTAGAATATAAGGGAAAAAAATCAAGATACCTAGAAAAGAAGGCAATGTTTGTAGGCTTCACCCATATAAGTGGGCTGACATGGAGTGAAAGTGGTAAAATGTTTCTAATAACTGATTCTGTGAAGAAAGAAAGGAAAGGAAGTATTGAAAGTTTGAAGAGAATGGAAGATATAAAATGAAAGATATTAAATATTCACCCAAGAATATGGTTAGCAAATGGCTTAGATTAGTGGTTCTCAAGCATGGCTGCATACCAAAAGTGCCTGTGGAGCTTTAACAAGCACATGTGCAATTATGAATTAATTGGTTTGGGGTAGGTCTAAACATTGCAATTTTTAAAAAGTTGCCCGGGTGATTTTAATGCACACACCTTGGGATGTGTAGAAGGTCTCAGGTATTTCAATGCATTTACATGGGAGAGCCAGCTAGAGGCAAATGGTCCATATTTTTAAAGTGAGACTAGTCACCATGTCGTTTATTATTTTCACTCTTTTATTTTTATTTTGTTGATGCAGAATAAGTCAACAGCACATTTAATAAGGATTGGGCTTGGCAATGTTTGTATTAATAAATCCTTTGGAAAAGAGTAAAGGGTAGTAGACAAAAATAATTCAAATTAATACTCATTAGAATCTGGATTTACATGAAAAGATAGACTGGGAAAAATCAGTAACCACTTATAATACTTGCAAGAGATGCAGCATTTTAGAGGAAGTCCTGATTTCAGATAGAGCAAAAAGAATAGGAGTATTGTAAATAGTGAGAGTATATAACATAACTGTCAACAAACCTTCCTTTCTAGAGAGCACACTGGGAAGATTTCAAGGGCTAGAGGGGGATGGAAAACGGGATTACAAAATAAATATACAGAGCTACATGGAGGTTATAGAATGTGGTGCAGGGAATGATTTGAGAGCTCTGGAGTCCTAGCGGTGACTCATATAAACAGGCAATGAAGGCATAAATAGTTCAATTTTCATTATATAAGGCAGAGTGATATTAAGATACCATATCATGGCTGGGCGTGGTGGCCAAGGCTATCCCGAGTGAAAAAGACAAAACTGGATGCTTCACATTACCTGACTTCAAACTATACTGCGAAGCTATAGTAACCAAATCAACATGATTCTGGCATAAAAAGACATATAGACCAATGTATCAGAATAGAGAATCCAGAAACAAATCTATGCTTTTACAGTTAACTCATTTTTTACAAAGGAGCCAAGAACATACATTGGGAAAAGTCTCTTCAACAAATGGTGCTGGGAAAACTAGATATCTGTAAGAATGAAACTACATCCGTACATTTCACCTTATCCAAAAATCAAAACAACAAAGATTAAAATATTAGATCTAAGACCTGAAACTATGAAACTATAAGAAAACTTTAGAGAAAGTTTCCAGGACATTGGTCAGGGCAAAGACTTCTCTAGTAAGATCTCAAAAGGTAAGACCTTTTGTAAATGGGATTAATTCTTTTTTTTTCTGATTGTTCACTGCTGGAATATAAAAATGCTACTATTTTTGTACATTGATTACCAAAGTCATTCATTAGTTTTATTCCATCCAATAAAGATGGAAACTGGAAAGTTTTCCAGTAAAGTTGTTTTAAATATAAGATAACATTATCTGCAATTTGACTTCTTTTCCAGTTTAGATGCCCTTTAATTCTTCCTTTTGTTTATTCACTCTTGCTAGGGCTTCCAGTAGTATGTTGAATAAAAGTGGTGAAAATGGGCATCCTGTCTTGTTCCAGATAATAGAGGAAAGGCTTTCAGTTATTCAATTTTAAATTTGATAGCAGCTGAGGGACTGTCATATATGGCTTTTATCACTGTTGACATATGTCCCTTCTATAACCAATTTTTCAAAAGTTTCTATCATGAAGGGATGTTGGATTTTATTTTATGCTGTTTTTGATAAATGTTGCGTTTTATCAAATGCTTTTTCAGCATCAATTGAAATTTTCATATAGTGTTCGTTTTTGATAGTAAAGATATGTTTTAACACATTTATTTGATTTGTGTATGTTGAGAATCATCCTTGAATCGCTTGGGTGAGTTTCATTTAATCATGATAAATGATCTTTTTAATATGTTGTTGAATTTGGTTTACTAGTATTTTGTTGTAGATTTTTGCATCTATGTTCATCGGAGATAGTGGCCTGTGGTTTTCTTTTTTTGTTATGTCTTTTTCTGGTTTTGGTATCAAGGTAATATTATCCTGTGGGATGAACTTGGATGTATTCCTTCCTTCACTTCTTTGAAAATAATTGGCGTTAGTTCTTTTTTAAATATTTGGTAGAATTCAGCAGTGAAGTCAGTAGGTCTGGGACTTTCGTTTTATTCGGGGACTTTCTATTACTACTTCTATCTCATTACTGGGTGTGCTTATGGTACAATCTTGGTAGATTGTATCTGTCTAGGAATTTATCTGTCTCTTCTATGTTTTCCAATTTGGGGCATAAGGTTTTTCATTATATTCTGTAATGGTCCTTTGCATTTCTGAGGTATCAGTTTTCATGTTTCTTTTTCTCATCTGATTTAACTTATTTGGGTATTTTTCCCTTACTTCTTTTTAGTTAGTAAGGCTTAAGGTTTGTTGATTTTGTTAATCTCAAAAAACTTTTTGTTTCATTGATCTTTTGTATTTCTCTAGTCTTAATTTTATTTATTTTTGCTCTGATATTATTTCTTTTCTTCTATTAATTTTGGATTTGGTTTACTTTTGCTTTTCAAGTTCTTTAAGTTACATCGTTAGGTTGTTTATTTGAAGATTTTCTGTTTTTGATGTAAGCATTTATTACTATAAACTTCTCTCAGTACATCTTTTGCTGTATCCCATAAGTTTTAGTATTTTGTGCTTCCATTTTCACTTGTTTCTACAATTTTAAAATTTTTTTCTTAATTGATTGTTCAAGAGTATATTTAATTTCTATGTATTTGTATAATTTTCAAAGTTCCTCTTGTTATTGATTTCTAGTTCTATTCCATTGTGGTCAGAATAGAAACTTGATATGATTTCAACATCTCTTGATTTTTCTGAGAGCTGTTTTGTGACCTAACATATCGTCTGTCCATGACAAAGTTAAGTGTGATGAAAATAATGTGTATTGTACACTGATTGGATGAAATGTTCTGTAAATATCTATTAGGTCCATTTGTTCCAGAATGCAGATTCAGTCTGTTGTGTCTTTGTTAATTTTTGGTCTTGATGTTCTGCCCAATGCTGAAAGTGAGGTATTGAGGTTCCCTACTGTCATTGTATTGTGATCTATCATTGGCTCTAATAATGTTTAATTTATATGTCTGGGTGTACAAGTGCATATGCATTTACAATTATTATATTCTCTTACTGAAATGACACATTTAGCATTATAAATGACATATTTTTCCCTTTTCATGGATTTTGTCATGAAATCTATTTTATCATATATAATTATAGACACATCTGCTCTTTTTGCTTTCACTTTCCTGGAATATCTTTTTCCACCTTTTATTTTTAGTCTATATGTGTCTTTCTAGGTGTATTTGATCATTCTTGCGTTGCTACAGAGAGATACATGAGACTGGGTAATTTATAAAGAAAAGAAGTTTAATTGACTCATGGTTCCACAGGCTGTACAGAAAGCACAGCTGGGGAGGCCTCAGAAACTTTCCATCATGGCGGAAGATGAAGGGGAAGTGGGTATGTCTTACAGGGTGGGAGCTGCAGAAAAAGGGAGAGAGCAGGGAGGTTCTACAGATTTTAAATTAGTCAGATTTCATGAAAACTCACTCACTATCATAAGAACAGCAAGGGGGAAGTCCATCCCCATGATCCAATCACCTCCCATCAGGTCCCTCCCCTGACATGTGGGGATTACAATTCAACATGACATTTGGGTGGGAACACAAATCCAAGCCATATCATTCCACCCCTGGTCCTTCTCAAATCTCATGTCCTTCTAACAATACAATCCTCCCTTCTCAATGGTTTCCCAATTCTTAACTCATTTTAGTATTAACTCAAAAGTCTGTAGTCCGAAGTCTCATGTGAGACAAGGCAAGTCACTTCTGCCTATGGACCTGCAAATTCAAAAGCAAGTTAGCTACTTCCAAGATACAGTGGGGATACAGGTATTGGGTAAATAAATTCATTCAAAGAGGGATAAATTGGCCATAAAAAAGGGGCTACAGGCCCCATGCAAGCCAGAAACCCAGAAAGGCAGTCATTAAATCTTAAAGCTTCAAAATAATTTTCTTTGAATTCATGTCTCACATATAGGCCACACTGGTGCAAAGGTGACCTCCCAAGGGCTTGGGCATCTCTACCCCTGTGTTTCTGCAGGATATGGCCCCCTCAGCTGCTTTCATAGGCTGGCTTTGAGTGCCTACAGCTTTTCTAGGTGCATGATGCAAGCTATCGATGGACCTACCATTCTGGGTTCTGGAGGATGGTGGCCTCTTCTCAGAGCTCCACTAGTCAGTGCCCCAGTGGGGACTCTGTGTGGGGGCTTCAACACCATGTTTCCCCTCTGCATTGCCCTAGTAGAGGTTGTCCATGAGGGCTCCACCCCTACAGCAGACTTCTGCCTGGATATCCAGGCATTCCCATACATCCCCTGGAATCTAGGTGGAGGGCCCCAAGCCTCAACTATTGCCCTCTGCACACTTGCTGGCTTAACACCACACGGAAGCCAGCAAGGCTTATGGCTTGCATCCTCTGGAACAGCAGCCTGAGACTTATCTGGGACCATTTTAGCCATGGCTGGAGGTGGAGTGGCTGGGATGCAAGGAGCAGTATCCTGAGGTTAAGCAAGGCAGCAGAACCCTAAGTCTGGCCCACAAATCCATTCTTTCCTTCTAGGCCTCTGGGCCTGTGATGGGAGGGGCTGCCATAAAAGTCTCTGAAATGCCTTCAATGCATTTTCCCCATTGTCTTTCCTTTACTTGGGTTCCCAAGTAAATTTTCTTACTTCCTTCCCTCACTTTCCCCCAAACAGAACAAGTTTCTCACTACACTGTGCCACCTGGAGTTGGGGGAGGGGTAATGTGGGCACTACCATGGCCACCACAGCTGGCACCATGCTGGGTTGCATTTGAAGCCCACAGTCTTTCACCAGCACAGTACTCGGGCTCACCCAAGGCCTCAGTCTGCTGCTGCCTGGCTGTCACTGATGTTTATTACAGGCCTAAAGCTGTTTTAGTCAGCAGGTTGTAAATCCTGCTGTGACTGTTTCCATCTCACCAATGCAGCAGATTATCTTCTGGCCCAAGTTGGGTCTCAAAACAACTTCTGGGAGCAAAAGCCTGGAATTCGAGGCTTAAGAAATCTGCCCGGTGCTTTGTTTTACTGTGACTGAGCTTTTACCCAAGTTGAAAGACAAAGTCCTCTTCCTTCGCCTTCCTCTAGGCAGAACAAGTCTCTCCTCACACTGCACTGCCTGGATTTGGGGAAGGGCAATCCCGGCACTCTCATAGCACTGATGTTGGCAGTGTAGACACCGCCAAGGTTGGTGTCAAACTGGGTTGCATCCTAAGCCCACTGCCTATGAGACTAGCACAGTGCCAAGGCTTGCCCAAGGACTACAATCTCCGTGGCCTGCTGCTCAAATTTATTTGTGGCGCTAGACCTCTTTAGTCGTTCAGTGGTGAAGATAGCTGAGATTCAGGTTCCTCCAGCTGGGGTAAAGGATTCTCTTCTGGACCAGTGGTGGTTTAACTGCTCCCTCTGTGGGCACCAGCAAAATTCTTCCTGGTGTTGAGACAGTGACAGAGAAGCACTTAATTTCAACGGAAATTCCCATATTCATTTTGCTCTCCCTCTCCCAAGCGTAGTTTCTTTCTCTCTGCTATGCTGCCTGGAGTTGGGGCAGGAGTGGTGTAGGTAATTCATGGCTCTCCTTCCTACCTTCTTCAATGCCTTTTTCTTTGTTATTATGATAAAACCAGGTATTGTGATTGCTCACCTTACTTTTTGGTTATAAGGGTGCTTTCTTGTGTAAATATTTGTTCAATTTGGGGTTTCTTCAGGGGATAATTGCTAGAAAGTTGAATTCAGTCATCTTGCTCCAGCTTTTCTTCTGTTTCTAGTTTTGAGTTGAAAAATGATCTGAAATTATATTTGAAAGTCTGTCAAACAAAGAATTGTTTTATAATTGGGGGAATTTCAGGATTTCCCCTTGGAAAGTAAACTAAGCTTTGTTTTGCCTGTTGTGGTTAACAAGGATAAGGGCCCTCCACTCAGAACATGATTTATGGAGTTCTATGATAAAACATATTATTCAAGACTCTACTTGAATTTGAGGTGATTTATTATACTTGATATAAAATGAAGTTAATGAATCATAGCTGGTAGAGTCCTGAGGTCTTCAAAATTAAGGATAACTATGACAGACCTCTGTAGTGGAAAGATATATATCTCACCTAATCTTTAATGACATTTTATGTCCCTGCAATGCCTATATGTTCAGCATTAATTTCTACTTTCGTTCTGCGAGCTGTACTGTTGAGCTTTAAGAATCTAGCTTGAATGAATGATTGAATTTGTAGAGAAACAAACTAACACAGTTACTTTCCTACCTATTACATTTGTAATTATAATACAATATGCTGTGATTATGCAAACACAAGAAATGTGCAAGATGCAAGATATGCCTTTCATAGAAGTTGGTTTCCTGAAATTTATGACTGCTTGCTTTGGTAGCTCTGTAACAACCTTTTATAAATAATAGCAGAATACTGTAATCTGACAAACTTCATAATTAAAATTATATGCTAATTGTATTAGTTTTGCTCTTTTTATAGTCTTCATACCCTTATTTAAGAAAGATTTTTGTTTAATAATAGAAATGCAAATCCTTTCATAGTGGACTTAACTATAACTATTTTTCATAACCTATTGTTGATGTAATTGGTTATGGATTATTCAAAATTATATTTGACCTTGAAAAGAATGGCCAATGAATAAAAAGAAAGTCATGTGATCATATTTTTTCTAATCAAATGTATGTAGACATTATAAATTGCATTAAATTTTGTATTAAAAAATATAGCCACCTTTTTAAAAAAGCCATGATACTAATTCATGTTTTCTTTCCTTGGATTCTTTAGAGAAATACGTGTAGAACATGTTCAGTAATCTCCAGTAGGATGGTCTAGCATTTCACTATTTCCATTGTTTTAGAATGCAAAGCATTTGAATTAGCCTAGTGAATATTAAAGACGACTACAGAGAGAAGGAATTTAAGCACAGCAAGCAACCTAGCAAAATGGATAAACCCCTGCTGACATTTCAAACCTGAGCCAGAATCCCAAGAGAATGTTGGTACCAAATCATGTAATTCACACTTCTGAAATGATACCAGATATTAACTTTTCTTAGCTTTTTTGATGATTAGTTTTTCTTATTTTTGGGGGGAAGATTAATTAATCTTATGTTTGTCAGTTACTGATTATGCTTCCTTTATATTAAATGATTTCTGAATATTTTATAAAACAAACATGACCAAACAATAAAAAGCTATGCAAACTAAGTTAGAATGTTAAATAAGTCTGTCACTAGTTAAAATAAACACAAAAGAGTTATAAAATTCAAATATCTAAACACATTTAATAAAGATTATTATTTTATAACACTGACTTACTGACACTCAAGCTATACAATAAAAAAATATTAACTCACATACCTAAAAAAAAAAAGGGTAGTGTGGTCTTCAAATATGACTTCATCCAGGTTCTCAAATGATGTATCAGAATTAACTCTGCTGCTAACTCCTGATTCTCTTTTCAGAACAGCTAGAAGGAAGGCTTTCTTCATAATGTAGAGAGATGGACACCAACAGCTTCAGACTTGCATCTTATTGTATAGAAAAGCATTAGAATACTTCCTGAACACTCTTAAAAAACAATAGCCTTCTGCTTTGGAAAATAAGACATGTATTTATGAAATAGTTTAAAGTTCAAGTAATGTAACCTTTAATGGCAAAATATATGACATAGAAACTAAGTGCCATTAGGATTCTTAAGAGAGCAAGATCTGCCAATGGAAAGCTTTGCTTTGTTTCAGCCCTTGTCCATCAGATAATCTTTCACCAGGCTTGCCCAAGTGAAAATTTCCTTTATCTTTCTCTTTCTCCCAACTGGTTTGCCTAACAACTTGTCTGCACTTAATGCTTACTTTCATCTCCATCATTTTGCATTCATCTGCTCTGTTTCATTATGTACTCTGTTCCTTTTACCAAATTAATATTTTATTGCATTTCCTATGAAATATTCTCACTGGTTTGATCTGTTGCATGTAGTGATCTGTAATACTTTCCAAATAACACAATTATCTTGATTTGGAACTCTTATTTTCCCTCCTGACTATTCAGATAATCATATACAAAATGCCATTTATATGAATCATTTTTTTTTCTTTCAGAGGGGCCTCATCTACGCTTATTTTAATCTTCAACTCTGCCAAGGCCTGACATTCAATGGGCTCATTGCATTAAATTGATGCAATAAGTAGCACACTCAATTCTAAAGGTTTAACACTATGCTCTTCCTGTGATTACATTTCAAATAAAACCTAGAATCAACAGGATTCGTGCACTATGGAAATTCGAAGAAAACTATTTCTAAGACATTCCCTGAAATCACACTATGAACTTAACTGTTAACTTGATGGTGATAATAATTTGATTAACAAGTGTTCCCATTCCCCAAATATTTTATTTGCTATAATTAAAAAACAACCAAATAAAATTATATATATTGATTATATATGCATATGTATATATATATAGAGAGAGATAAATAAATATACATATTTATTTATTTATTTTGATGTGGGGTCAGGAAGAGAGTTTCTCCTTTGCCCTCTGAAGACTCACTGCAGATAAACAGGAGGAAAAAGAAAAAACAATAAAAAATGTAATGTGCGTGAGCACAAGAGAATTACAAAATGACTACTCACTAACCTACTGTAGTCCCGATGCTTATATGTCCTTCTTCATAGGGAACTAGAGGTGGATGTGTAGGAGTATATGATTTTCAGGGAAAATGAATGAGTCCAAAAAACTCTGGGTCAAAATCCCTCTGAGTTCCAGCAAAGGTGGTGGGAAAGTAAAGGGCTGAACTTCACTGTGAACAAAATTTGTCTTATGCAGAGAAAGCCTCCAGGGAAATCTCTGGGAGGGCCCCTCAAAAGACAAAAATAAAAGTTTGTCTAGGCATGGTGATAACTCCTTGTTTCTCTTCTTCTCCTGTGGTTAAATTTTCTGTTTATTTGATGAGACCCTTAGGAGAGGTTCTTAAGACAATTGCATTTCTCTTGGAGAAAATCTTCCCTAGTCAAATAAGGAAATTCCAGAGAGGATAACTCTCAGTATTTTGGTGCTTCATAAAATAAAAAGAATCAAGAGAAAGGGGGGCAGGGGAGGGTCAGAGAGTGAACTTGGTTTTGAGCCTTATTTCTAATGGCTATTTAATTTCCTTTAATTCAAAGCACCTGCCGAAGTGCCATATTATTGATGTATCATTTTTTCGAAGCTGAGTATCAGCAAGTCATACGATGATATTTTACACACACACAAACACACACACACTGAGAGAGAGAACAGAAACTATAAGGCAATGGATATGAAATGACAAACATAATCTATAATATTTCAAAAAACTATTTTACTATATTCAAATACATTTCACTATTTGCATTGTTTATGTTTAAAATGTTTGTTATGTAGCAAGTAATTACAAAACTCAAGTTGGAAATGAATACATTATATTGAAACTTACCAAGTATTAGCATTTACATTAAGACATTTGTTTATAATGATTTATCTCATGATATTATGTGATTTTCCTGATAGGTAGAAAGTGCCTTTACTCTAGCAATTACTGTATAAATTTTTTATTATTCTAAATTATTCAGTCACAGTAGTCAACATCCTATCCATAGAGCATGTTCATTTGTACATGCTGCTTTTAGGAGAATATGAGAACCAAAAATACAGTTTGTGAATGTATTCCACAAATTACTTTTTTCCTGATAATCCAGTTTTAGCATTATTCATTTCAGATTCTGACTAGGTAAGAAAGGCTTCCAAATGACCTTAATCTTCTACAGTTGCCTACTGTTTTATTGCCTGAATATAAATATCCAAATATACAATGTTATTTCTCATAAATGGAATGGGAGATTGTAGGATTATGTGTGATAGTCATGACTGATATCCAGAGTCTCAACCACAAGGCTCAGCTTTTAACATTCACATTAGCTGTGATGGACACTACCTAATTCCACAGATATCTTCCAACATCTCAGCTTTCTGCCTCAGGCTTTCTTTGACACCCTAAGAGCTTAATCAATGCAAGTATATCCTTGAAGTGCAGGGAAGCTGATGCTCCTGGGGCGGCCTTCATTAATAGAGAATGGTGGTCAGTGAATAGATGTTCCAGTCTCCAGTCTCCCAGAAGGACAATTCTAAGTTTTGTTCCACATCCTTCTTCAGAGAGTCCTCAGCAGGATTGACCTCTTTCTGACAATTATCTGGAAATGTAATGCCAGTTTGGGTTCCTTGTCATACCTATATCAGTTTCCCAGTCCCTTTACTCTAACTTCTTAATACTATCCCCTGCCCACAATAGCTACCTGTTCCCAAGTCTTCTCTTGCTCTGTATCAGGAGAACAAACTAATGGTATCCTACCACCAGATTAAAATTGCATTCATTTTCACATCTTAATTGTCAATAAAATACATGAAATATAATGGAGTTTGTCTAGAATGTGTAGTTTATAATATCTCAATTACCAGTTTATAATGTATTTATCACTAGGAAATGTGATTTTTATCTTCTGACGTGTCCATGATGTATATATTCTTCTAGAAATTATGTGTGTTTGTTTTTCTTTGGTTTATTAAATAAGATGTGCAATTTTCTGGTGTCTGATGTATTTTACAGTCAGTAAAGTGTAAATTTAGAATGAAATGAATTTGCTAAATATGGAACTATGTATCATCTTGATTTAGATTGTATGTCTTTTGCAGCTTTCAGAATATTTTCTACTTTTTCCAAAAGTCACATAAGCTTTCATTTGAATTTATTTTGTTGACAAGGGGTTTGACTTGATGATCCATGGTGTTCATCTGGAATACTGATCCTTTTCCTTGCTAGAAGGCAAAAGCCACAGTGCACATTGACAAAAGCTGTAGTTTTACTCGCTGTATTCTAATAAACGCAGGTTCAGCTAGGTGTTCCTTTCAACTTCCTTTAGAATGGGTGAATACATCCAGGACAACTGTTCTGTGCAAACTTTTAAATTACTTTCTTACTAAATTATAGTAAACGGATCAAGAGATTGTTACCCTCCTAAGTGGACCTAGAGACAGAAACATAACATAGTCATGTATTTTCAATTATTACTGTAAGCTCAATTAAATAGATTAACATTATGAGCTACATTTTTCTCAGCATTAGACTGTCTAAATGCTTTAGTGTTAATTGAAGAGAAAGTACCATTTTGAATGTAGACTTTAAAGAAAAGTCTCTGTATGTTTTAAAGTGCTTTTTTTTCATTTTATTATTTCTTTCTTACCTTAATTTTTGTCACATTTTTTTGGCTAGATGTACAAATAAAATGAATATGGAAGATTACTTATATAATAATATATATTATTACACACATATATAATATGCAATTATATTTTAAAAATTTAAGTAATAAATGAAAATCTTCAAATCTATCAAATTAATTAATTAAATTTTATTTGACAACATGAAATAGCCTCCCAAAACAAAGTGTCAGTTATATCAAAGGAAATTTGCAGCACAGCTTGGGATGGGCTGCATGAAAGAGGCCTTGAAATTTAGCTTTGCTCAGCTTCTTTCTTACTCTGTGTTTTGTGTGTAACACCAAAACAGATGAAAGTCTCATTGGGTAGTATTCCAGAGTATACTGGGAGATACAGAAGCAGCACTCAGCCAAGGGAACAGGGTGAGCCCCCATGGGCCTGGGACGATAGAGCCAATTTCAGGGGCACAGTGGCCTTAGTATAAGAAAAGTAAGCTACATCAACCAGGAAGCATGACAGGGTTCCAACCACGCTGAGTAATCACAGATCATGTTTCACACCTACTACAAACTTCATCTAGAGCTGTCACACTGGTCAGTACCAGAAAAACAGGATTCAGAAGACACACCATGTAGAACCAAATGGCACCACGTAGAGTCCAGAAAAACAAAATCATGAGAAAATGTGAGTCCTAATCTCCCCCATTATCAAGGAACCATCAGGCTCCATGGAGTAGATCTGTAAACAGCAATGTGGGTGAAACTCAGGGAATATGAACATTTTTACCCAGAAGGACTGAGTGTTACTTATAGGGTTATAAACATAATTAAATTGGATAAACTATATTGAATGAAACTGCCTTCCAGTTCTTTACAGCTTTTGAAAAATGAATCAATTATAAATAAAGTAGTTTGATTCTCTTGCACTTCAGAGCTGAATGTGAATATAATTTATGCTACCACCATACACAGGTGCTAACTATACTTGTCCATATCTTTCAAATAGTTTTAGAGTGTATTAGGATTCTGAAGGTGGACAAGCATGGCAAATGCATTTCATCATTCAGTAAAGTCTCAAGTATAGGAGGCTAATGATATGAACACAGGTAGTACCTATTTGCTACTATATATACATATAGGTATTTCATATATGTTTTATGATACATGAACTATTTGTAAGAGCATATATATTTTATGGTATATGTCAGCATATTTCACATATCTTCCATAGGTACATACACATATATGTGCACTATTTGCTACTATGCATGTATATATTTCATATATCTTTTATATGTTCACATACACATATATGTACACAGTTTGCTATTATATATTAATATATAATATATATTGCTATTATTTCATGAGAAATATATAGTAGCAGTGTGTACATATATGTGTATGTATATATTTATAGTTGTGTGTGTGTGTGTGTGTGTGTGTGTGTATAGAGTGGTAGTAGTATAGCTGTGGCCACTGTGTTTTTGGGTACAAAGTAATAGGCCATAATGCTCTACCAAAATTCATCACTCCCTTCTATACACATCTAAGGCCACTCACTCTATACTTAATGAGATATAAAGGCCATTTGTAAACTAATATAAATATTTATTTTCTTTATGTGTGTTTTCAAATAGTTATTCCAAAATATCTTTTCTAAATCTATTCTTTATCTTAACTCAGGCTTTTTTTTTTGTAATTTGCCAACACCTTTTTAAAAACTCATTGCCACCTCACAAAAAAATTAAATTTAGTCTGACTTAAAACACAAACATTGCGCAGAAACATTCAGAAAATGCATGATAAATTAATGAATAATTTACAGAGACCTAAGGAAATGTCTGTGCTTCTCATTTTTGAATTAAAACTAATTTGATTTGGAATTTAAACATTCTCATGCTGCAGTTATGGAACAATTTGAGTATATGATATGATGTCAGCAGACAATAGTGGTATCAGTAACAATCTTAACAACAAGTTCCTTTTTCTATTCATGTGCTATTTCCCACAGCTGAATATTTTCAAGTACACATATGTACCTGTACAAGATTTCTGAATTTATGCTATAGCATATAAAATACAGAAACCTAAGTTATTATGTCATCTATCTATGTTTCTGTCTATCCAAAAATAATCAAACACCGTGCAAAGTAAATTGAGATAATGAAAGAATAATAGAATATAGCCCTGTTATTCAAGATGCTCATAATTTATTTAGAAAGCAAACGTATTTATCCTTAGGGAAGAATGGAAAATGATGTAACAGGTTATAAAATAATTATTAGAGTTTTAGAATTTCAAATAAAGGATAAAATCTTTCAAGGAACATCAATAGGTAATCATAGATAATTTTCTTTATTCTATTTCACTCTTTCTTTGTAAATAAATGCAAAATATATATTCATATACATACATATTCCCCTCCTCACATTACCACATGCCTCTTCTTTTTTGCTGAGTGATTATTTCTACTAACTTGCTTAATACATCTTCAACAGTCCATATTCTTTAATGACTTTTCAGTGTCTGTTCTTTTAATATGGAACTGTTAGGATCTGGAAGTGGTACAAAGTGAGGAACTGACAGTAGGTAAGTCAACACTGTTTCTGTTGGCAGTCTTTTTCATTACACAAAAGTATTTTGTCAATACAATATGATACATCAGTAAACTCATTATCTGTTTAAATATATTTAACATATTGATAAGGCTTTTGGACAAACAGCCCTCTCTATTCTACTTTTAGCAGTGATGTTTTATAAAATTATCTGATTAGACAAGTATCAGATTCAGATTAACTTCTATAATGTAAATTTTCTCTGTTACTAAATTTTTTCAGAAAGATTTGGGAAAAGAAATTTTACCTGTTTCGGGGTCAATTAAAATCATAAAATTGTGGATCAGAGGAAAAGAATCATATATTTTCTTTGCATAAAGTTAAAGATACAGCTTCATCTCAATCAGCTGTGAAATTCCATCCATGTTTCTCAAAAAACTGTATGATTCTTACATATACATTTTAACAAGCAAAAGTTATTAAACAAAAATGAATATAAACTACAAAAATGTATACAAAAGCATGTATGTATTCAGCACTAACTAAGTCAAAAAACAGATTTCGGTTTAAGAATCTCACTTTCTTCTTTACTGTTATGGGCAAACACTTTAAAATTTTACATGTTTTAGGGTAAGAAATATTTTTTAATATCATACTGTGATTTACTGACATTTCAGCCTTGCTCGTATTTTCCAATTTCTTCAACTATAAATTATGTATGATAATTTTCCTCCTGAAAATAACTAGATTTACATGGCAATAAATACCTCATTCTGGTCATTGTCAATTTACTATTTTATAATTATGATTATTTTAAGGAATCTGATAATATTTTAATTGGAGTTTGATTATATGAGAAATTTTTGCACTTGTTAAGGTGAATACATTACAATATTAATTGAAAAGATCACTTTTCTTCCTACCTTCCACCTCAGAAGTAACAGCCTCAAATGATATTTTCTTTTACCAAAAGTGATCAGAAACAATTAGAAAGTGTTATGTTTTAATAATCGAAAAGACCATTGTATATTTTTTAAAACTTTAAAGATTAAATTCAACTTATTTTGTATTCACTTTGAATTTATTTTCAAGTCTTCCAAAATTTATATTTACCATACAAGGGGAAATCCTTTTTTTATGCAAGAAACAGAAACAAAATTTAAGAAAAGGGTTGACAGAGTATAATCAAACATGAAAAAGACTAGGGAATAAGACTATTAGCTTTATAAACAACAATGCAAATGTCTGGCTTGTGATCTTTAGGAGTTATTAGTAAATAATAATAATAAATAAAGCAAACTGTCAATAGGACAATCTTGTCTTATTTGTGATATATAGCAGAAGTAATGTAAATTCATACTTTTGGGCAATGATTTTTACCTCAAAACATTTACATATATCTTAGTCATGAGAAAGTAAAATGTTTCTGAAATTTTATTTTAATATCCTAAAAAATAATATAATGGGTGAAACAGAGATTTTAGAGTCTTCACACAACAGTGACTAATTCAAACGGGAAAAAAACAAAACAGCACGAAATGAGCTCAGTCTGAGAAGTGGGTACACTTTGTTTCTGTTTTCTGAAGACTTAGGCTTATAGGAGAGAAAATTAACTTGATGGGGAGCAACACAAATGCAGTTATCGAGTGACAAAGCTAAGCTAGTATTATTAAAACCAACATCACAACAATGAAAAACAAGGGCAAGATGTCTGAAATATACAAATTTAAATAAGCAAGATTCAAAGGATATGGAAGTTATAATTTATATAATTATGTAAATGATTGATCCTGAAAACAACAGTTGCTTGTAGTTTTGTCTTGTTTTAGAACCTGTAGCAATAGAAATTATGATATATCTATTCCATTGTTTAAAATTCAGAGAACAGATTTCTAAGAACTCATTGGAGCTTCTGAAATATATTAACCACTAATGTTACATTGCTTTAAAGAACCTCACATAAAATGTAATCATCTGCAAAGAGAAAATGTAATTTATGATTATTAGAATATAAGAATTATGATATGATTAAAAATGGTGATCAACGTGCATGCTCACCTATTTCAACAAAGCACAGCATGGTTTCGTAACAGACAGGAAGGTAAAGATGAATTTTATAAGAGATTTAGGTTACATATGAAATTATTTAAAACACAAATCACAGTACCTCCAGCCACAGGAGAATCATTTCTGCATGGATTTTTGCAGGTGGTAAATTGGTCTTGTTTATAAATAGATATAAATTAAATAAATCTGACATAAGGCACAATTGAGAGAATGGATAAAGCTGGATCTATTTTACAATACAATCCCTTGAAAAATTAGGTAATTTTGAAAAAATAAATTTAAATTATTTCCCACAGAGACAAGTTAACTGACTATAGGCAGAAAAAAATGAAACAAAGACGCAAACATTTTTTATTCCTTTTTTAAATTTTATTTTGTATGTTTACTTTAAGTGAAGTTTGTGACAAGGAGCAACTTATAATGGAAGGCCATGGGAGCGTATGAGCATTTGGTGAGTGCCAGCAGAGTCATGCAATCTCTTCCTCAAATTGACTAATATGTGTAGAACCAAGTACCCTTTTCAGTGTTCTAAGCATTCCTTCAATCCTTTGAATATGTCTGTGATAGTAGGAATCTCTGGCTTTTTCTTCATCTTGGCCCAATACTACACATGTCCTTGAGGGCATCTTATCTGTACTTTAATACTAATTTTACTAATTTTATATTCCCTATTAATTTTCTCCAGTTGCAAGCAACAGTAACTGATACTAAGAAAAATATTTATTGATAAAATAAGGGGACTAACAAAGGACTAGCTCAACATCAGTACTCAAGAAGGAAAAAATCAGGATAACTCTAATGATCAGCGAGTGCTGAAGTTCCCAAGTGAACGAAATTGGCCAAATAAATATTTTTACTCTCAGTGATATTTAATTTTACACAGTAAAGAAAAACATATTTGTTTTACAATTTTTAAAAAACTGTATATTTTCAGAATAGACTAAACTGTATATAATTTACAAATAAATGAAGAAATATCTGGGGCATGTTCGTACAATTTACTTGTTGCTAAGAGTGCATGAGCTTTCACCCTTGGGTTACAGTCAGAAGATCACTGCCATAAGAAGAATAAACCCGCTGTACCACCTCTGTCAGTCACTGCACATCTATTCACATTATTAGGAAAGAATCCTTGATTACATTCCCTTATGATGATGAGGAATTGGCATCAAATGGGGATTTCTGCTACCAGAAAAAAAAAAAAAAAAGAAATCTGCTGCGGGAAAAAAAAAAGCTATTAGAAGAAGATAATTTATACTAAAACAATTTCTTATGTAACAGTTATTATAGAACAGTTTACTATCATATGCCAATTAGAGTTATACTGAAATGGATAAATTAGTTCCAATGCTAGTGGAAGAATAATAAAGAAACTCTTTTTAACTGTGGAGTTAAATATAACTTTATAAGATAAAAATATGCCAATATACATGACTAGTAGATAGACTAGATCCATTTTAACTAACATTTATTGGATAAGTTTTACATGCCAGACATGTTGCTAGGCAAAGGGAACATAATGCTGAATGGGATATATATGTACAATTTATAGTTAGGATATATCCCAACTATAAATATATCCCAACTATAGGGATATCATATATAACTATATATATGTGTGAGTTTAAGGTCCGTTGAGGTAGGTAAACATTCTATGAATAATTATATAAAATGTGATAAATATTCCAAGAAATCTAAATTAGACTAAATAAATTCGTATGCCAGGTGATTCATTTATCCAGTTATCAGTTGAACTGAATATAGTGTTGTTTATAATACATTTAAGGGATAAATTAATTATAAAAATTAAAAGATAAATGATTTGAGTTAGAAACAAGAAAAAAACAATAAAATTAACACAAACATATCTTAAAAATTAGAAATGAACACATCTGCTGAAAACAACTGGGGTAGAAAAAGCAACAATATTTATTTAGTGATACTGAAGAGACAGGATAATAATCAAATTATGAAGAACAGTTAAAAATTTTAAATGTAAATAGTTTATGAACATTAATATGAATATTTAAATAAATATATGGAATATTTTCACAACAGATTCAAGAAAGAAAATAAGAACAAACCAATAAAGATGAAATATACTTGAAATATATATATCCAGAAAGCTTTCTCTAAAAAGGCATTGAGGGCAGCACTTTGTGAATTTTTAATTTTGAAGTTTTTTCAGAGTTTGGGAAAATATGGAGAGTCTTAGATGATTTAAATCATGACAAATCCAAAGATTTCAAAGTGAAAAAAAATATGAGCAGTCACATTGTAATTATTATGATTCACGAATGCAACGTAAAATAAAAGCTTTTAGTTGCACTACAATAATAATAGACCAGATAACTTCCTTTTCACTTGAAATATGAAACAAGAGAATAAAAATATTAACATCACAATAAATCTAAATTAAATAATTTCAAAGACCACGTACAATGTTTGTGAAACAATTTTAAAAATGAAAAATAACCCTAGCCAGTAACGGAGAAGATGCTTAGGGTAGTGCCTAGAAACTAGAAAGCACTTAAAAACCTTTGCCATCCCATATTGTTGTTATTAGTCATAAAATAGTGCAAACCAATACAATGTAGACAATCTAGAGGAGTTACAATTTCAAAATGTTTCAAACTGTAGCATTTGTATATGTGTTTATGTATGCTCGTGTATGTAATAATTATATTATTACAAATGGATTATTTTATACTTTAAATATAGTCAACATCCTTCTACATATCTCATCTTTTCACATGGAACATAACCAGTTTCTTTTTAAAATCAGTTTATATAGGTAACAGAATCCTGAGAAATCCAGTTGATAAAGCAAAATTGAAAAAACTAGTTATTTCAGCAATAAATATTGCTTTAGAATTTTAAGATGCATAACACCAAATTTTCAAGGTAATTTTAGAAACTTATCACTATGATAGCTATTGCACTAAACAGTTGAAACTTCATTAACGGAACATAAAAATTAAAAATACGTAATTATAATATATCCAAGTGATAAGACATTTGTTAATAATTGGTAACAACCTAGCACATGTATACACATATATACATATATACACACTCATATATATGATTTATGTGTATAATTTCAATATGTCTTTATTTTTGATATATTAGTTATCCTTGGAAACTTGTAGAGAGGAACATCGGATCAAGTCTACAAACATCCTACAGCCATTGTAATATCACTTCTGTCTTAGCATTATCTATGGCACAAATTAAAATAATTTATCCTCATTCAGGTCTATGTCTTCAAGCTCTGCTCTCCAACATCTCTACCTATGGTTTTAAATTCACAAATTCTTAACCTTGTGGCACATCAGTGGTCTCCCTGGCAGGCAGATGGAATTCAGCAAATTGCATACTGGCTCTTAAAGTCTCACATATTAAGTGTTTTGAAGTGCTTGAAAGAATTAGGCAATTGAATTTGTAATTGTAATCTGAAGTGTCTTGATTATTTTATGAAGTTTATAAATAGTCATAGATGTTTAGAAAAATTTAATCTGTCAAATTTACAAGTTAATTGAGCATAAACCAAAGAACAAGTGAAGACTTAAGTGGTCTTAATTTTATCAAAAAACGTATTTCTTTTATAAGTACAGTGAGAATTGCAAATTGAATATAAAGTTTAAGGAAATACAAATAGAAACAATATTTTCCTTGCATAATAAGCCTCATTGAATTTTTCAAAGGTGTCTATTTGCTTAATTATTTTTGAGCTCCAAGAGGAAACACTTGGAGAAGAATATGAGATAATCTTCATATCCAAGAAATAATAGTGCCACAGAGCTACAGATGTCCACAAAACAGCAGTCTTGCTATTGTTCTGTCGTCACACTGAGGTAATATTAATATATGGATATATGTCTCAAAGTAGACATGGAGACACTAGTGAAGTTTTCATAGGAACACAGACACAGTATTCTAATTGCATAAATTCAAAAGCAAAAATTAAATTTACCTATCCATTATATATCTTTATTTTTATCTCACTGTCTTATTTTTCCTGACCTATAACATTTTTCACCACTCTCTAGTAAATTTTCACTACTATGAGTAAAATATAACTTTTGTCTTTGTCTGAGAAAAATTTCCTTTCAAAATTACAGCCAGTACCTGACTGACAGAACATTGTATAGCTGTTTTTTATTAAACATGGCCCTAGGAGAGACTTATCCTTCATGTCATTATGCTGCTCAAAACATTTACCTAACCAACAATCTCCCTGTAATAAAGGGAGAGAATTTGGGTTCTGACAAAAATAAAAAGTTTTTTTTGCATCATGAAAGTTTGTGCGCCTCCATGGAGTGAGGGGCTTCTGAATGTCAGACTTTGAGAGGAAAATTTTGAGGAATATTTGCTTTTGTGTTAACTAACAATAAATCTAGAATGTTAAATTCATTCTGTGAAATACACATAAATCAATAACTGCTGTTAGAAACCTACTGAGTTAAACACAGAAGCTGGTGAGCAATTTGGAGAACACTGAGCAGATTCAGAATAAATACTACTGACAAGGGAGCATGTAAGCAAGACCACCAATGGAAACATTGTTTGCCACCTATAGATATTCTGAGGCTACTGTTCTATAAAGATTGAATGGCATGAATTCTGAATGATGTACCACTGTGTCAGAAATAGTTAACTGTGGTACAGATTTTTAATGGTAGATTAGGCAAGTATTGAAAGTTTCATATACCCAAATTACATAAATTTATGTGAAAGTGTTTATGACATTCTAAATGAAAAATAAAGCCCTAATACCTTTATAATGCTATTTAATTCATTTACCTTTTGATATGGTTTGGTTGTGTCCCCACCCAAATCTCATCTTCAATTTTAGCTCCCATAATCCCCACATGTTGTGGGAGGGACCCAGTGGGAGGTAATTGAATCATGGGGGCAGGTTTTTCCCATGCTGTTCTCATGATAGTGAATAAGTCTCTTGAGATCTGATGGCTTTACAAAGGGCAGTTCCCCTGCACACACTCTGTTGCCTGCTGCCATGTAAGATGTGCCTTTGCTCCTCCTTTGTCTTCCACCATGATTGTGAGGCCTCTCCAGCCATGTGGAACTGTGAGTCCATTAAACTTCTTTCCTTTATAAACTACCCAGTCTTGGACATATGTTTATTAGTGTGTGAGAACAAATTAGTACACCTGTATATTTCTCTATTATTCAGTATTATTTGTAACTATGTTTACAAATAGTTTATAGTTAATAAGTAGCTTATATATGCATGTGTATGTGCATAATGCAGTAGAATGTATGTATAACGCAAGAGATTAAAATGAATAAATGACAAAAACAAGTCAAAAGGAAAATAAGAGAAAGTAAAACACAGAAAATGTAATTTGATAAAAAGCATGCAAATTCTATAAACTAATGAGAATGGAATGAGAATGATTTGGTGAAATATTTGTCTTGCACTTAATTTTTATAGTTTGTTCCAGGACAAACTAAAATAAGAAGCAGGCCTTCATAACATGGAAATGTTATGCAACATTTGCATAAAAACAATTAGAGCAGGTCATATGAATTGATTTTACAAAGAGACAAATAATGTTCTCCAAATATTCAGCTCATTGATAGTACAGTTTGATCTAGTGATCGTATTTCCCATGTCAGGAAAAATGAGTAAATTCTACTTCCAACTCCATTTAAAATAACACCACATTATGTATCTTAATATTATTAAAAATAAATGAACCAGACTATTGATGGTAGTGCGTTTGAGTATTTAGATGGCTGAATAATGAGTGATCAGTATGATTCAGGTAATACAAGTATCTATATGAAGTATTTTTTTGTAGCTTTGTGTATGCATTCTAAAACACTTGATTCACTGGCAATATATTTTTAAATGACTTTAAAATAATTACTGCGTATTTTTATGGAAGTATTTAGTTTAGCTAGTTGTATGTTAGAACTCTCAGTGCATGTGATAATAAAATCACATCATCCATGCGTAAGCAGATGAGGTAGTGTAGAGTGGTGAGTGAAAACACAGCTAGGAGAATTGCACCAGTCCTACCATTAACTAGCATGTGACTTTCTGGAACATAAATTGCTTTCATTTTCTTATTTTCTTTTTCTGTAAAATGAGTTTCTTTATCTCTAAAACCCTTATAAAAATCAAAAGTTTATTAAATGATTAAATCATTCAGTATTTGAAAAGCTATTGGAATAGTATGTAGGACATGGTAGATAATATGTTAATGTTATTGTCTTAAGTTGGTATTAAAAGAATGAGTCATAGAAGGAGAGGCTGACAATAAACCTTTTTTAATCCCAGATTAACTTCATTATCTTTGTGAAATCTAATTGCCAATAACAGGTTAGCATTAAAGAAACACATATGAGAGTATAAAAAGCAATGCCTCTTAACATATCATATCTTACATCTTTAAGGGCATTTAAAAATAATGCCTATTTTAAGAAATATTTCTAAAAATATTATTGTTACTAATGGTTATTTAATAACAGAATAAAATGTTATTAATGGTTATTTGTGGACACAAAGATTAAAAGGTGTCTGGGAGTAGTTTTTTTACTTCCAAACAAATACCTCAAAAAATATTTTGATTACTTTTTATTTATGTTTTGTGTCGTGTATCTTTTCCAAAATTGCTCATAGTCAAAATTGTAATGTATGCCTTCACACGGGCATGTGTGTGTGTGTGTGTGTGTGTGTGTAAAGAGACAGAGGAGGAAGGGGGTGAGAGAGAGAGGGAAGCAGAGAGACTAGAGAGAGAGAGAGGTGTCAGATCCTGTACCAGATATTATAAAAACAGTGAATAAAGGGAAAAAGTTTCAATCTTCCTGTTTTTCAGTGATTAAAGCCTAATTATGCAGAAATGAGATTCTTTGCAGCAATTTTCTTTAGCTATCTTTCCATACACACACATTTCTATCATAACCTCAGCAATTTTGTCTGAGTCTACAGTCAGTGCTCCATTTCATGAATTTGTATTTATTTGTTAATCTCATGAATTTGTCTTTATTTGTTAATCTCAGGAATTTTTTGCTAGGGGCGTAAGTCAATACTTTTGCATTTAAGTCTAGATAATCTGAGCAAGTATTAGAATAAATACTTTAATGTCTAATAATATGTTCAGGTGTTGACCTCATACAAATAGCATTGAATACATAATTTGGCTTTCAATCATTGGAACACTATCGGTATGGAATTATTTTCTGAATGAACTTTGCATTTTTTTCTGTCCCTGGAAGCACATCACATAGGTAAACTAAATAATGTATATCTCTATTAAGCTCACAAATAAAATTATTAAGTGAGATGCTCAATGTCTTACCAGCAAGTTGTAGTAAAAAAGAGAATGCAGGTATTGTGAGGTGTAGTTCAATGCTGAAAGTCACTTTGGCATGATGGCTGGTTCTGTGAAAGTAAGAGGAACAGTTATTTTCTCATTCATATTTTCAGGGGCTTTGAGTAAAAGTGAACTAGAAAAAATACATATGGTTTATAACTGTGAATTTTTTGACAAAAATTCTTTTATAGGCAACATTTCATTTATATAAATCATTTCCTGTCCAATACTTGTAGTCAGTCTGAAAAACTAGGATAAGGAAAAACTGATTTATTATTTAAGGAAAAAAATCATTCCAAGATTTGTCTATGTTTTGCAATGAAACATTATTATGGTTAAATTCATCACCAAAAGATTATAAGTGTACTGTTTCCTAAAAAGCATATTTTTTAATTTTAAATGCATTGGATCACATCAAGAAAAGTTAGAGCTCGTTGAAAGATTTACTTAATAACTTGTATAAGAGTTGCCAGCCATTCTACAGCCACACTCTATGAATGTGTCAGCCACACAGCTGTTAGAATCTTCAGTTGTTCTGACAGCAGGCAAAACCTTTGTTAAAAGAAGACCAACACAGAATAAAACCTACTTTTGGAAAATAATCATTTATATCCCTTAATTTTACTTTATTGAATACAGGACAATAGGAAGGATGATGTATTCTAAAATATTTACTGGAAAGTATCAGAGAGTATGTTAATTTTTCCCACTTCTGATAGTAGTAACACGTATTTAATGTTGGCTATTACCATTGTATTGAATGAAAGACAATAGAAACTCTAGGCTTTCATTTATTTATAATGCAGTGGCATTTTCAGTCTCCTCCAATGTATCTCAGTACCCTTTATTTTACATTTGGGTATAGAGATGAATAATATTTTCTATGCTCCTATTCCAGCTATTTATTTACAATGAAAAATTGCACAGAACTCTGTCTGATAGAAAAAAATCAAAAGCTACTTCTCACTATTGCTTGTGGTGATTTTAAATAAAAACATTTTTTCCTTATACTTCAACATTGTTCTTCATGAAACTAAAAATCTACAAACCGTTTGAACAGGAAATTATGACTTTTAGATTATAAGTCTTCGGATAATATTACATTTCCTTTTAAACTATATTATGTACATTTCAAAATACCATCAATTTAAATATATGTGCTAGTCTTTATCTTGTTTTAATTTATTATTTTACCTTATCCATTATATAAGATATGGCCTCTGATTTTTTATGTAAGATTTTCTATTGAAATGAGAATCTTTACAATTTTGTGTGGATCACAGTTGTAATCATTTTTTCACATATAAAATGTCTTTAATATCAATGGAACTAATCCCAAACTAAATTAAATCTTTTTTCTTTCTTTAAATAAATTATTATTAAGCTTCTACTTTGCTTCTCCATCCCCTTTTGCTAAACCATTAAAATATCTGCCCCAATGGCCGGTGTGCATGTTTTTTTCTCAAAATGTGTTTGCAGATTTAGTTACTGGAGTGATCATGTTAAAATTAAAATAAGGTTTACACCCCTTTAAAAAATATTTCAGTAATGCTCCATTGCACCTTTATAAAATTTAAAATCCTCAAAATTATATGATCTTTCGGATAAAGTCTTGGGCCACACTTCTTCCTATACATAGCTTTGCTCCAGAAATAATAAAATACTTGCAGCTTCCAACAAACAACCTACAGTATCTTCTAGAGAATCTGATCTCCCTTCTGTCCTCAGTAACTTTCCATACTACTTCACCACAGGGTTTCCATGTCTAGCAGACATTACTTCCTCAGGAAACTCTATGTGTCAGTTACCTATTGCTGTATAAGGAACCATCCTCAAATTTACTAGATTAAAACAGCAGTATTTTCAATTGTTCGCACACGAGTGGGCTGGCAATTTGAGCTAGGGTCAGCAGAAAAGTACTTTTGCTGTCTTCTCTGTAATCACTTGTGAGGCTGCATTCATCTGGTGCCTTGAAACTTGAACTTAATGATTCAAGACTGGCACTCACGTGCCTGGAAGTGTCACTTGCTGCTGGCTTGAGAGTCTACAGATCTTATATCCTCCAGTAGGCTGGATTGCACTAGATTGTGCTCCTTTAAATGGCCACATTAGGACTGTGTTTCAAAAGAGCACAGTGGAAAACCACAAAGCTTCTTGAGACTTAGGCTTTGGATGGTCAAAATCTCACTTCCTCCATGCTCTATTGACCTAGACAAGTCACAAGACACGTTCAGAATTCGAGGGTTGAGGAAATAGTCTCTACCATTGATGAGAAGAGCAGGCAAATCACATTGCAAAGGAGAATGCAAAGGAGCTTTGCGAACAACCCACCAACTGTTTTTAAACTTCTTTTATTGTTTTAAATTTACCTTAACTTTTTACACATTTTTGTAGTAATTTTTATAGTACATTTTTTCTCTATTTTGGGGATTTTGATGACAAAGTTCTATGGGAAAATATATTTATGTATTATATCACACACACACACACACACACACACACACACACACCCCACACACATTTTTTACACCATTCAGAGAGAGAACATTTATTTTAGGTACACAACATTGATACCAACCTGTGGCAGCAGTGTCTTTGTCTACTCAGCACATGAATATAAAAGTAGATGTCTTGATAAATAAATGTATTTTTAATAAATATATACAGTATGACTTTGCAGTGTACCATTTACTCTTCCCTGTGTTTAATTAATATATTGAATTCCTAATGAAACTTGGCTTCAGCAGATTAGGAGCAACACCCACATTCAACCCTGATTTTAAAAACAATGTTATCTTTCTTTTCTTCTTTTCTCCTTCCTACCTTCCTTTCTTCCCTCTCTGTCTCCATCCCTCTTCCTTTCTTCTTTCCTCCTTCCCTCTCTTTCCTTCCTTCCTTCCTTCCTTTTTTCCTCCTTCCTTCCTTCCTTTTTTCCTCCTTCCTTCCTTCCTTTTTTTTGGTCCTGCTTTCCTTCTCCCCTTCTTTTTTTTTTTTTTTTTTAAATTTCCTTTATTTTGCTCTATAATGTGGTTTTGTAAATAAGTCTAATTCATTCAAAATTTTTTATTAATTAAATGGAAACAGACATTATTTATGTTATGAGGTCAAATTAGGTTAATGTACAAGAAAATGCTTTATAAAATCCTTGATAAACGGAAGATACAAACATTAGCTATTTAATGGATATAATTGCAATATAAATGCTTAATAAAATGTGATCAAAATAATAAATATTAAATATTTACCTAAGTTGAAATTTGTACCTAGTTATTTTTTAACAAACATTTAACTAGAATGTGTAAGTTATTGAAATAAGCATAGGGGATACAAGGCTACAATGTCTCTGCTTATAAAATATCTCCAATTTACTAAACAACTACTGTTATTTTCTTTTTTGTTATGCCTTTTTAAAAGTACTCCATTACATTTCAAGAATGAAAACATCTAAACATCTTGGGCACTCAATGAGGCAAAGCACGTTATGTCTGTGTTATGGGTGTGTTGAACACATCTGGCAGCAAAACCATTAAATTCATATATAGCCTCTGAAACAAACCATGATAATTAGTCTGCACATGATTGCCTATTGTATGTTATTTATGGATTTTTTTATTAAGGAAATTTACATTTCTGAGTTGTTTTACTAAAAGTTCTATCTGGGTTTTATCTGGGTTAGAGTTATATATTAAGTAAATATAGACTGATTATCACCAAATTAAAAATTGTATTCTCACTTATCGCCTTTTTACTGAATAAATATTGTGCTGAGAAAGTGGATATGATGTAACTAGCTACAGCCATTAGGTATTGCACAACATAAAGAAATAAATGGCTCATGCTTGTCAAATACTGACTTGTGGAATCTAGAATGTTCTGATGTTGTTTTAGACAGATATAGATTACTTTTATCTTCAAATTTTATACTTTAGCAAATTAAAATTACACCTACTCAACCTCATCATGCCAGCAGAAAATCATTATTATTAGCATATTTGTTGGTTAAAAATATCTGATTCTGGAGCTTAATATAACATATTCTTGATATTTAACAATAACTTTTTGATATTAGATTTTAAGACTTTTATCATTACAAATACAATATGACTTTTTAAATGCACTACTTCCATTTTCCTATTTTGTGGCTCAAAAATTGTATGTGCAAATACTCAACTCTTATAAAACTGACCTATGTCAGTGCTATGTACACACTGGATATTTCTTTGTTCTGGGAAGCTGTAGCATACATTCAGCACCACTCCTGCTTCCTCCCCATTAGAGGTCAGTAACGCTAACACCAGTTGCCCTCTTACGGTGTGACATCCACTAATATTGCAACATATTGAAATTGTCAAATATGCACTAGGGGAGAAAATCACCCCTGGTTGAGAACCACTGAGTTGGATTGTATACTTGATCTTCCCTCAATGTCACAGGTCAATGACAGTAGATCTTTTCTCGGGAGCACTATTCAGATATTGTGTATTTGCATAAGTACTGGGAGATACTGGAGTTTCAAAAGGCAAAACTGGAGTTATAATCCCACAGGCACGCACAATTGAGTTAACAGCTGACTGAAGCCAATATAACATTGTTAAGGGGAAGAATCAGGGTTTGGACTTTAACCCAAGTTAGGAGACCATGCACATCAAACACTATATCTCACTGCCTCTTCACCTGGTCAGTGCATAAATACACAACCTAACACAGTTTTCTTTGTTCTTTTTCATTGCAATTGGATCTTAGCTATCCAGTTATTTCTTCACATATAATGTTGTCAATACCCCAGCCACTGAGTTAAAACTGACCCAGAATATCATTTACTCTCACCCTGTTATTTGCTTCTACTTAGTCTCCTTTATATAGTCTTTTTCTATGTATGTTCTTGTCTTAAATATCATATTATTATATTATTATATTTCATTTCCTATACCAAGACTGACCAATTTGCAAAAGAATGGAATCGAAATTCACATATATATATAATTTTTATTTATTTTTGAGACAGTGCCTCGCTCTGTCACCCAGACTTGACTGCATTGGCCCAAGCAAGGCTCACAGTAGCCTCTAACTTCTGGGCTTAAGGGATCCTCCCATCTCAGCCTCCCAAGCATCTGGTTCTATAGGCGTGCACTGCCGTGCATGGCTAATTTCCTAATATTTTGTAGAGACAGGGTCTCACCATCTTGCCCAAGCTGCTCTCAGACTCCTGAACTCAAGTGATCCGCCTGCCTCAGCCTCCCAAAGTTCTGAGATTACAGGCATTAGCCACTGTGCCTGGCCCACATATATTTTTTGAGAATAAAATGTGTGTATATTAAATTCTGATTTAAAACAAATTTAAAAATAAACAGATTCAGAAAGAAAAAAGATGAAGTTAAAATATAAAACCTTCATGGTAACAAATATAAATTGTATTTCTTTGAGGATAGATTATCTTCTCCATAAATCATTACATTTTGAAAATAAAACTAAAAAATATTTCTTATTTCTGGACTTCATCATTTTTCACCTTCCCTCTTCTTTGCTGTCATTATTTTTCTATTTTTGCCTTATTTTTTATTGCTAAACTGGGAAAAACAAAAGATTTTTCAACTTAAAAGGCAAATTTCTATCAGTTTAATTTTTCTTTTGATTAAAGTCAATAGAAAAAGCTTCTGTCACAAAATGCAAAGCTTCTTTCTTAGCTAATTAGCTAGTACGTTTTTTCTTTAAAAAAATCTGTCATAGTAGGTATCTTCTTGAATGAACTTTAGATGTTAACAACAATGAAAGCCCTTTTATTATTGGAAAAATAAAATTGGAAATAAGCCATCTGTTCCACCTTCTGTTACTGGAGCTGTCCCCTAATAGAATGTCTGTAGCATATTTTCAGAACGGCAGGGGAAAGAGGTGACTAATAGACAAATGTGTTGGTTAATGTAATTCTTAGCAATTTAGAAATACATAAAATTAAAGTGGGAATAAATATTAATTAGATCAACTTTTAAATGACTCTCAGAGTAGCTCATATTCCTAACCTTCAAATCAATATTTTGCAAAGGAATGCTTATTTTAATATCATGTACCATCATCTTTGAAACACTTAATTAACGTTAACAAAATCTTTCAATAACCCAAGGCGTGGGCGTGGTGGCTCAGGCCTGTAATCCCAGCACTTTGGGAGGCCAAGGCGGGCCGATCACGAGGTCAGGAGATCGAGACCATCCTGGCTAACACGGTGAAACCCCGTCTCTACTAAAAAAAAATACAGAAAATTAGCCGGGCGTGGTGGCGGGCACCTGTAGTCCCAGCTACTCAGGAGGCTGAGGCAGGAGAATGGCGTGAATCAGGGAGGCGGAGCTTGCAGTGAGCCGAGATCGTCCCACTGCACTCCAGCCTGGGTGACAGAGCCAGACTCCGTCAAATAAATAAATAAATAAATAAATAAATAAATAATCCAAGGCATTTAAGAGTATAACTGAGTATATAAATGTGTGGATTGATCATTTGGTGGTGGTGGTGGTGGTTGTTTCCAATCTCTTCTAAATATTGTCCTGTCATTCTGGACATATATAAAAACGAAATAGAAATAAAAACAAGAAAAAGTGAATTTAGGGCTGAGCGCAGTGGCTCATATCTGTAATCCCAGCACTTTGGAAGGCCGAGGCAGGTGGATCACTGGAGCTCAGCACTGTTGCCCACTCATCAGCCTGGGCAACATGGTGAAACCTGTCTCTAATAAAAATACAAAAATTACCCAAGTGTGGTGGTGGGTGCCAGTAGTCCCAGCTACTGAGGAGGCTGAGGCACGAGAATCGCTTGAACCTGGGAGGCAGAGGTTGCAGTGGGCTGAGATCACGCCACTGCACTCCAGCCTGAGTGACAGAGCAAAACCTGGCCTCAACAACAACAACAAAAGTGAATTTTAATCTTTGTAATATTGTAATATATAAAGAAATAACATACTACAAATTAAATGAAAAAATATCTTACAGAGTTGTTTGGATGTTAAAGCAGTATAAAATACATGGATTTTTCTCATTAGCAGTAAACAACAATATAATCAGAAATTTTTTTGAGGAGGGGAGGGAGAGGGGGGACAGTGTATGGCTCTGTTGCCCAGGCTGGAGTGCAGTGCAGTGACACCATGTCGGCTCACAGCAACCTCTGCCTCCCAGGTTCAAGTGATTCTCCTGCCTCAGCCTCCTGAGTAGCTGGGATCATAGGCATGCATCACCATACCTGGCTATTTTTTGTATTTTTAGCAGAGATTGGGTTTTGCCATTTAGGCCAGGTTGGTCTCGAACCTCTGACCTCAGGTGATCCTCCTGCCTGGGCCTCCTAAAGGGCTGGGATTACAGGCATGAGCCACCGTGTGCTCAGCCTGGAGGAAATATTTTTAAAGTGGTTGTTTTTTATGGTAGTCGTATATTATGAAATGAATTTTTGTTTGTTATAGAATACATATAATAAGTATCTATCTGTTAAACATATTTTTAAGGCATGAGCATGCCCCATTTTCTAAAGACAAATAATCTCTTTTAAGGGATACAAACATTTTTTACAGTGTTACAAATATTTTAATAAATTATTATCTGTTCTAAAGCAGAAGAGCTATGCTACATGTTTATGACTTGGTAAATAAGACTGGTATATAAGACTTATTCCATGATGCATATATATGTTTTGGGTAATTACTAAAATACAATTGTAATTATCTACTCTCTGTTCACATAAAAAATTGACCTTCCTTAAGAAGAAGTTACAAGTTATGTCACTTTATTTCAAAGTAACTACACCATAGAGAGTCTGTCTTTAAATCAAATGAGGTTTCAGGATGTCCAGTGTCACAAGATAGAAAGTAGAGAGATTGATTAGTAAACCTAGGCCCTTCCAGTTCCTGAAGATACTCTGACATGCTGCCTTCTCTGCAATGCACTCCCAGCACAGAACACATCACTTGAAAAGCTTGTATTGTAGGATGAATTCTTATTAAATTTTATCCTGGGAACACACTGCTCATACATAGCACTCTTAACTTGGAAAGATCATGATTGTTTATAATTGCTGTTTTTGCCATTAAAAGTAATGGGTACCAAGTGGTATATAGAGGAATTTTTAAAAGAAAACTGAAGGAGTCATAGAATTACATATTCTTTAAAAAGAACAGTTACCTCAATACTTACTATTAATAAAGGCAATTCAAATTTTAGCACACTTCATAGGGTATTTATAAGAAACAACTTAGGGTCTGATATTCATATTTTGTAGAAGAAAACAAGGCTATAAAAATATTTGAAAAACTAATTTGCAATGTTATTAAGGGAGAGAATAAGAATTCTAATGTTACTATTTTGCATACAAACCTGATGTTTGTTCCAGTATACTAGAGGAAAAATGGCTGTTTGAAATGACAGGCCAGTTAATAAGAATGAAAAGTTGATAGGAAAGAAAATTAGATTCATGCTAGATTTTTATGGGTAACATCCAATATACAATAAAATTTTTATTTTGTTTAAATTGATGTTTCACTAACAATTTTTAAATTATATTTAGGAGGGATGGGTTAAGATATCGCCTGGATTTGAACTTAATTTATCTATATAAAAGATGAAAAATTATCTGCATTATTTTCAGCGTCAAAGATAATGTGAGCTCAGTATAAAGTACCTTACCCAAAAATCTGTAAAATAATTCTGCCTTCCATATATACTACTGCCTCTCTTTAATGAAGTATTGGAGACCTCTTGTTTTCTATAAATTTAAATTTGTCAAGGTAACAATTTTATCCCTGAGGTTATTTTTGTATTCTCCTTCTATTCTTAAAAGATACATTGTTTTTTTTTTTTCTCTCCACCATTCCCTGTGTCCTTTCTTGGTTGTTATAATAATTCAAGCACTGGTATAAGGACATGAGCTAAGAGCGTGAGCATGGTGAAATTACTCTCTATGTAATGCACAATTCAGTCTATTTGATCATGAAAAACAATATGGAATAGAAACCCCATGCTGTCAGTCTCCACCACTCCTCATGTCACTTTTCTGTTTGCTGTCTGAACTATGGTGATGAATGGTAGCTAGAGACTTGAGGTATTATTAATTTTCTCTACAGTTTTCTATTTTCTTTGTCATTTATTTCTGCTCTAATCTTTATTATTTAACTTATTCTACTTATTCTGTTTAGTTTGCTCTTATTTTTTCATTGTCCTAGGCAGAAGTTATTGCTATTGATTTGAGGTATTTTTGATTGATATGTGTTTATAGCTATCAACTTTTCTCTGAACAACGTATTAGCTTCCACTTATAAGTTTGAGTATATTGTCTTTTTGTTTTAGTTAACATCAAAGTATTTTCCATTTCCTCTTCTGATTTTCTTTATCCAGTAGTTATTCAGTAGTAGGTTGTGTTTAATTGTCACATATTTTTGAGTTTCCCAAATTTATTTTTGTTATTAATTCAAATTTTATTTCATTGTGGTTAAAGAGCATGCTTTACATAATTTTCATTATTTTAAATTTATTGAGTTGTGTTTTATGGCCTAGTGTATGGTCTGCTTATGAGAATATTCCATATGCACATCAGAAAAAAAGCCATTAATCTGTTTTGGGATACTGTTCTACAAATATTTTTAGATGTAGTTGATTCATAGTATTATTCAAATGTCTTATCTTCTTGTTGATCTCTGTTTAGTTGATCTATCTATTACTGAAAATTGAGTATAGACATCACCAGCAGTTATTGTTGAATTGGATATTTCCACCACCAATTAATTCTGTCAGGTTTTGCTTCATGTATTTGCGGGGATTGTGTTGTTAAGAACATATATGTTTATCATTGTTACGTCTTTTTAATGGATTGATTCTTTAATTATTCTAAAATATCTTTGTTTATATTTCCATTCACCTTTTTTAAAGTTTATTTTGTTTGGCATTAGTGTAGTTACTCTAACATTTTTATTGTTACAGTTTGCCTCATACATCCTTTTTTCCATCTTAATTATTTAACCATTTGTATCTGTGAATATAGAATGTGTTTCTTGTATACATCATGTTGAATCTTTTTAAAAATTTATTTTACAATCTCTGCCTTTTAACTGTATTTTTAAATTCATTCCCATTTAATATTTCAATGGATATCATTTAAAACATATGCCATTTTATGTTTTGTTTTCTATCTCATCTATTCATTTTTATTCCTCAATTGCTCCTTTACTGCATCCTCTTGAACTCAGTGAATTTTCTTGTGTATCATTTAATTTATTTAATTGCTATTTTTGCTATTGTGGGGGTTATATTATTTTTAAAACATTTTATTAATATATGATTGACATACAAAAAGCTTTTTGTATTTAATGTATCATTAAATATATTTTAAAGGCTCATAAGTTTATGAGTTTGTAGATAAGTACATATCTGTGAAACCACTATTAAAATCTATTCTAAAAACATATCCATCACCTTCAAAAGTTCCCTTTCATCCTTCTTATTTTTATTTTGAGGAGGAATTATACTCTTTTTTAAAAATTTTAATTTAGGCCGGGCACAGTGGCTCACGCCTGTAATCCCAGCACTTTGGAGGCTGAGGCAGGCGGATCATGAGGTCAGGAGATCGAGACCATTCTGGCTAACACGGTGAAACCCCGTCTCTATTAAAAATACAAAAAATTAGCCAGGCGTGGTGGCGGGTGCCTGTAGTCCCAGCTACTTAGGAGGCTGAGGCAGGAAAATGGCGTGAGCCTGAGAGGCAGAGCTTGCAGTGAGCCGAGATCACACCACTGCACTCCAGCCTGGGCAACAGAGCGAGACTCCGTCTCAAAAAAAAAAAATTAATTTTATTTTAAGTTCTGGAATACATGTGGAGGACATGCAGGCATGTTACATAGGTAAACATGTGCCATAGTGATTGGCTGCACTTATCAATCCATCACCTAGGTATATTAAGCCCCACATGCATTAACTATTTATCGTGATGCTCTCCCTCCCCCAGTCCACTGACCCTCTGATAGGCCCCAGAGTGTGTTGTTCCTCTCCCTGCGTCCATGTATTCTCATTGTCCGGCCTCTACTTATAAGTGAGAACATGCTGTGTTTGGTTTTCTGTTCCTGCATTAGTTTGCTGAGGATAAGGGCTTCCAGCTCCATCCATGTCCCTGCAAAGGACATGATCTTACTCTTTTTTGTGGCTGCACAGTATTACATGGTGTATATGTATCACATTTTTTTTTTTTTTTTTTGAGAGGGAGTCTCGCTCTGTCACCCAGACTTGAGTGCAGTGGCGTGATCTCGGCTCACTGCAAGCTCCACCTCCCGGGTTCATGCCATTCTCCTGCCTCAGCCTCCCTAGTAGTTGGGACTACAGGCGCCCGCTACCACGCCTGGCTAATTTTTTTGTATTTTTAGTAGAGACGGGGTTTCACCGTATTAGCCAGGATGGTCTCGATCTCCTGACCCCGTGATCCGCCCGCCTCGGCCTCCCAAAGTGCTGGGATTACGAGCGTCAGCCACCACGCGGGGCCGTGTACCATATTTTTTAATCCAGTCTATCATTGGTGGGCATTTGGGTTGATTCCATGTCTTTGCTATTGTGAATAATGCTGCAATGAATATATGTGCATGTATCTTGTATAATAGAATGATTTATATTCCCTTGGGTATATACCCAGTAATGGGATTGCGGGTCAAATGGTATTTCTGGTTCCAGGTTTTTGAGGAATCACCACACTGTCTTGCACAGTGGTGAACTAATTGTCGTTCCTATCAACAGTGTAAAAGCATTTCTATTTCTCCACAGCCTCTCCAGCATCTGTTCTTTCTTGACTTTTTAATAATTGCCTCTTAATATTTGTTTTAAAGTTTACTATATACATAATTTTCTTATTAGACTCTATTTGAGATTTATACTAACTTATAGCTATAAATGGTTAATGTAACTATTACTCCTGTATAGATATATTCTCCTTTCCCCCTTTTATCTATTATTTTTATACACATTACATCTATATGTTTTACAAACTCAACAATATTATTTGTAATTGTAAATCTGTACTTTATGCCTTTTAAAGATCTCATAAGGATAAAGTAGAATAAGTATATATTTATAAAGTTTGTTACATAAACCTTATTTACTATCTGGCTAATTTATTGTTTTGGTTCCTATGGATCTGAGTTGTTATCTAATGTCATTTTATTACTCCAATACGGTTTTGTTCCCCACTTCTTGTGTTATATTTTAAAAATATATTACGTTTTCATATGTTACAGACCTAACAGTGCAACAATATACATATTATTTTATACAACTTTGTTTTCTGCCAGTTTTTTCCTTACCTGTTTTTCACCTTTTCTTACCATCATCTACTCAATTATTCAGGACTTTTGATTGGAAGTTAGCTTTTTCTGTTCCTCACCTGTAGACTATTAGCAAGTCCTGTAAGTTCTACTTTTCAACTACATATCAAGCCAGGCAACTTCTCTTCAACGCCATTCCCATCACCCTGGTCATGTCTCCATCATCTGTGACATTTGCCTCAGCCTCCATCCAGCCTAAATGATATTTTAGAAAGTTATGATAACAAATAGATTACATAAAATTTACCATATTAACAATTTCCCTCTGGATAGTTCTGTAATGATAAGTACATTTATATTATTGTTAACAAGAATCTAGAAAATTTCATCTCACAGTGCTGAAACCCTATACAAATAAACAATCCCGATTTCCCAATCTTCATAGCTCCTAACAACCATCACTATACTCTGTCTCCAGGAGTCTATTTTAGTTACCTCACAGAAGTGAGATTATGTAGAATTTGTTTTTTTTGATTGGCGTGTTTCACTTAGCAAATGTGTTCAAGGTTCATTTATGTTGTTGCATGTGTCAGAATTATTTTTCCTTTTAAACACTGAATAACCAATGCAAGTGATATACCAAATTTTCTTTATTTATTATTCTGTTAATGTCTGTTAATGGACACTTAAGTTGCTTCTACGTTGACCAATGTGAATATTCCTGTTAGAAAACTGGATGTAAAAATATATTTTCAAGATCATGCTTTCAATTTTTTAGATATATACCTAGAAGTATAAATGCAAGGTCATATTGTAACTTTATTTTTAATTTGTTTTAGGAATCTCTGTTCTATTTTTCATAATGGCTGCACCATTTTACATTTCAATCAGCAGTACACAAGGATCCGATTCCTCCAGTGCTCTTGCAAACATTTGCTATTTTCTGTTTTGTTTTATTTTGTTTTTATAGTGGCCATTTCAATGAGCATGAAGTGATACCCAATTTTAATTTTGATTTGCATTTCTCTAATGATTAGTAATATTGATCAGCAGTTCATATGCTTGTTAGTAATTTGCATAACCTCTTTGGTAAACTATTTATTCAAGACATTTAGCCTTTTAAATTTTTTTTCACATTTTCTCATTGTTGTCGAGCTATAGGAATCATGTATATATTCTGAATATTAATTCCTTATCATATATGATACAAAATATTTTTCTCATTATATAGGTTGTGATTTTAATTTTAGGTATATCTTTTGATGCACAGAAGTTTCAAGTTTAATGTGGTACCATTTGTTTATTTTTGCCTATATTGTCTATGATTTTGGTGTCAAATAAACAAATAATAGTTGGTAGAGTGAATTTTCCTTCAGCTTTCCCCTGTAATCTCTTCTAGTAGTTTTATAGTTTCAGTTTTTACATGTAGGGTTTTAATTGATTTTGACATGAATTAATTTTTTTATATTATGTAATTCAATGTTCCAACTTCTTTATTTTACATGTGAATATTCAGTTTCTCAACAACATTTGTGAGAGAGACTGTCTGTTTCCCATTTTGCGGACTTGGGTCATTACCATATATGGAGGGGGTCATTTCTTAGGCTCTATACAATTGCTTTTGAATCAGCCAAGAGGAGAAGACATAAGTGTTTTCATGCTGTCATTAGTAAGCGCACAATTACCTTCACCAGCATTCTTTTTTTTTTTTTGAGGTAGAGTCTCGCTTTGTCGCCCAGGCTGGAGTGCAGTGGCGCGATCTCGTCTCGCTGCAAGCTCCACCTCCCGGGTTCACGCCATTCTCCTGCCTCAGCCTCCCGAGTAGCTGGGACTACAGGCGCCCGCCACCACGCCAAGCTAACTATTTTTAATAGAGATGGGGTTTCACTGTGTTAGCCAGGATGGTCTCGATCTCCTGACCTTGTGATCCACCCGCCTCGGCCTCCCAAAGTGCTGGGATTACAGGCGTGAGCCACCGCGCCCGGCCACCTTCACCAGCATTCTTGGGTGGGTGTCTCTCTGTGTGTGTGTGTGTGTGTGTGTGTGTGTGTGTGTGTGTGTGTGTATTTGAATACTGTTTAGGGTCACTTGGTTTTATCCTTATAAATTAAAAAAATTTATTTTGTAAGGAGAGTCTGGTAGCAACACATTCTCTAAATTATTTTCCCTGTGAATTTTCTAATTTTGATTAATTTAAAAATAGATTTGGTGGATATAAAATTCTTAGTTAACAGCCACTGTCTACTGGCTCCAGCAGGTGTCAACAGTCAGCTGTTAATTTTATCATTGATTCCTTTTACTTGCATTCTTTTATACTTGTTGCTTTTGAGTTTAACAGTTTATGATGTATCTGATAGTGATTCACTTTGCACATACAGTCAGTCCCCAATATACAATGGTTCAACTTTTGATTTTTTACATTTGTGTTGGGTTTTCTGGAACTAATCTCATCATATATTGAGAAACATATGGACTTACAATGATTTGACTTAAAACATTTTTGAATTATGATGGGTTTATCATGACATAACCTCATTGTAAGTCAAGAAGCATCAATATTCTACTTTAATGCAATTTAGTTTCTTGAATGTGAATATTAATGTTTGTATTTCCAGGAGTTCCATTAATTATTTTGTTTTACAAATAACTGAAATTCCGGAAATGCAATACATATAAACTTTATAGTTTACCATGTGAATTTATAGTACTGTTAAATAAATACTATAAATGCTGTTAATACAAAAGCCAGAAGTTAAGAAAGTGTAAACAAGTAGAAAAGAAAGATACTAAGAAAATACAAAAAGGCAGAGTGATTGAGAAGAAAGAAAAACAGCTGATTAAATATGAGAAAATCCAATCAACGCTGTGTAGACACATTCACTTATGCATACTCATGAATGAACAAGGGTCAGAACATGACCCTAGTGTGGACTTGATGGTAATACCAAAAAATTTGGGTCATATTAGTAGATATAGTTAAGATGTATTAAAAGATTTACAATGTGTGTGGTGTCAGCTGTATGAAATGGATTTTCACATTTAATTCTTACCTTAATGTATTGAGGTAGGCATTCTGCTAATCTCATGTTAAAGATAAAGAAACTCTGTGGTTACCATGAGTTTTAGTTAAATAACTTATAGTTTATAATAGACTATTTTTACCTTATAGCAATTTAAATCAAACTATATAAAATTACTGTATATTTTTACTCCACCCCTCTATATTTTACACTTTTGATGTACAATTTACACCATTGTATATGATATAGACCTTAACAAATTATTCTAGTTGTTATTATTTTCAATAGTTTTGTCTTTTGACCTTCATACTAAAGATATAAGTGATGTGGACACCACCATTACAGTATTAGAATATTCTGAATTTGACGATGTATTTAATTTTACCAGTGAGTTTTTTACTTTCCTATATTTTTATGTTACTCATTCACATCATTATCTTTCAGTTTGAAGAACTCCCTTTAACATTTCTTTTGAAATAGGTCTACTGCTGATGAGCTCCATCAGGTTTTGTTAATCTGGGAAAGTTTTTATTTCTTTTTCATTTCTGGAAAACAGATTTGCTGGAAACAGCATTCTTGATCGATAATTTTCCCCCTTCAGAATTCTGAATATATTATCCTTCTCTCTCATGGCCTGAAAGGATTCTGCCGAGAAATTCACTACTAGCCTTATTAGAACTCCCTTATACGTGTTTTGCTTCTTTTCTTCTGCTTTTTTCAGTATCTTATCTTTCATGAAAGCTCGAAATGTTTTTATTACACTCATAAAAAACGATAAGTTCGTAAGGTAATGTGTAGCTTAAATAGCTTGCTTTAGCCATTCCACAATGTATACATACAAGAGAAAATCATGCTACACACCACAAATATACACAATGTTTACTGTTCACTTAATAGTTTTATTAAAAAGATAAAGAGACTGAGGAATTACATTCAAGTCAATATCTTTCACTACAAGAAGACCTGACTTGAAGAAAAGTGTCTATCTCCAAAGTCTGTGTTTAACCTACCATATAAACCTTGAACATAAAAGTTACAAGTATTTACTACAATGTTGAAATGGCTCTTTTGATGACGGCTTTTAATAAATTAAAACGGAATTGTCTATTACAAGTTAGTCTTAAAAGTAGCAATGGTAACACCTTATGAGAAGGAAAGACTAGATAGGAATTACTTGGAAATTTCTATGATGTCAACCTCAAACCATATTCCTAAAAGGAATTGGTAGATTTCTCTGAGTTGTATTGCAATATAGGAAATTATCAAGTATACATAAACTCTTATTAGAAAACTTGTGCGGAATTAAAACTCTACTGGGACACTAAAGTCTTTCAGAATTCTGCAAATAATTGTGTTAACCTGAAGCCTGGAGACCATAGCTAAGGTTGGGCAAAGTACAACAACTGTGAATTTAATCTTCACTTCTTTAGTTTGTTAATGTATTGAGAAAAAATGTTTTAATCAACTGTGAGACTCAACAAGTACTGATACAAAACAAAAATACTTTTAAACATAAGGTCATTTTATTACAATCTTCCAGTTCTCCTCATTGGTAGAAAATAATATTCTCACAAGTGAAGCATATATAAGAAATGGACAAAAGAAAAGTGTACCAAAATGGAATTTATGTAGAAATTCTATTTATGCAGTGAAAATAGTCTCCAAGGAGCTATGACATTTAAGAAATTTATTCAAGCATTTCATCATCTCAAATGTGATGAGTGGCAAACAAAAAAAATACAAAGCAAACTTATTCAAGAAATAATGTTAGTCCATTTTTTTAGAAAGAATGTGTTGAAGTGAGACATAAACAATTTTTAAAAATTGCTGGCACAGCTAAGAGTCAATTGAAGATTATACTTAGTATTCCATTGACATTTTCTTAAATGTTTATATAGTTAGTGATATCGGAAGGTGTCTATTTTGTGATAATTTTTCAGAAAGCACCATGTGAGATGGAACTTAGACATGAGTGTTAAGTGCGGGTAAAATTGTAGAGCAGCTAGAACTTTCTAATATTCTTGGTGAGGTGGTATAACTTCTTCGGAAAACACTGTGGCAGCTACTTAGCAAGTTAAGATGACTTTTGTCTTGAGACCCAGTGACTTTGTTCTTTGCTGTTTACCCTAAGGAAATGAAGATGTGTTTGTGAACTAAACTGTAAATATTTATAATAGAATTATTCCCGGTAATTAGAACCTGAAAATAATGCAAATGTATAACCTTCAAACAGCAAATACTTAAGCTTTGAGGTAACTATACATTGGAATATTGGTTAGGAATTCAAATGATCAAATTACTGATTTAAAAAAACCCACAACATCAATAAATATGAAATGCTTTATGCTAAGCAACAAAAAGCAGATCCAAAAGGTTACATGTTCTATTATTGCATTTTCAAGATAACTCGGAAAAAGTAAAACTGTATGTATGGAGAATAGGTCAATAATTTCCAGGAATTAGGGGTTGGGAGAGCATGTAACTACAAAAGAGAAAAACAAAAATTCAGTTCAGGGTGAGTGAACTGTTTTGTATCTTGATTGTGGTTGTGTTACATGACCTATGCAGTTGTTAAAACTCATAAAACTGTACCCCCCAAAAGTCAATTTACAAAGATGGGTAGATATATAGATATAGATATAGATATAGATATAGATATAGATATAGATATAGGTATAGATATAGGTATAGATATAGATATAGATAGATATAGATGATATCGATATAGATAGTATAGATAAACCTCTATCTACCTACATCTATATCTATATCTATCTATAGATAAACCTCTATATATGTATCTATCTATCATCTATCTATCTATATCTCTATCTCTCTATCTATCTATCTGAATGAATGAATAAATTTAATGCATGTGTCTCTGGGCACTCTAAAGCTGAGAAACAAGAGAAGAAACCATCAAGGCAATCTGAGAAAAAGCAACCAGTGGGAGAGGAGCAAAATCAAGAGTGTAATGTCTTGGAAGTCAAGTGAAGAAAGAAGTAGGAAATGAATAACTATGTCATACATTCCTGGTATATTATGTAAGATGAGGATTGAGAACCATTAGATTTAGCCATATGGATGTCATTAACATGACAAGAGCATTTTGGTGGATTTTTGGGGCAAAGGCCTGACTGCAGAGATTTTAAAATAGAATTAGAGTAGAGGCATTGTAAACAAGCATAGATTTTTGTTTATGCTTTATGCTTGGGGATAATACCAGCATCTTTGAATACTGATTGCAATGATGTGTTGTAGAGGAGAACATAGTAATGTATGAGAAGTGAGAAGAAATTTTGTAATTAGCTTTTATGCAGAGCAGAGAGAATGTTGTAAGTGGATAAATGGCCTATAAATAGAAGCAGATTTTTCTCAATTTTATTCATTGTAAAATGTCTCTACTTGTTTCTTACTTTAATATGTCATGTTTAAATTTATTGTACAATTGATGGTGTGTTATAGTATAATTGACAATATTTTATTTTATTTCCTTAAGTGACATACAATAAGACTATCTTATAAATTGTGTGTGTTGGATTTTCTAAAATATGACATTTTATCTATAAAATAGAAGAGCATAGATGCTGCTAGGTTATTAGATGTAGTGGTGGGACTCTATAGACATTCATTTTTAATTGCTTTAATTTTCTAAGTAAAGATTAATGTAAGGCCATCAGGTGAAAACATGGACGGAAGATAATACCTTGGAAATGTAAAGAGAAAGTAGAATGCTTGGGAGTTTTCTAAGGGATAGGAAAAATTAAATGGACTAGGAAAATACATTATGTTTTCTTAACAAAAGCAGATGTATCATTTTAAATTTATCATTATAAATGTAAAGCGAGACTTCCCAGTAAAGTTGTGTGTTATTCTCTAGCCACATTCAAGTTCAATGGAATAGTTACAGAAGGGATGAAGAGTTGATTTAAATAGCATTAGTATTTTTCCAAACAAGTAGGAAAACCTAACAGAAATCAAGTTGTTTTAGACTGTATGTAAGGGAATGTTTTAAGGATTGGCCATAGACCATAACTCAAGTAAGTAGGAAAAAGTAAGTAGGAAAAAGAAAAACTACAGACAGAAAGCTACCATGAAAATCTAGCAGTATCAAAGGTCGTCCAAAACAAAAGAAGGTAGCAGTCAGAGAGCAGGGCACAGAAGTTAATGCTATCAGGAGGTTTCATTTATTGGTAAAGCTAAAGTTTGAATGGAAATGAAACTGAGGTATGGCTGACGACAATATTATTGAAGTAAAACATCGCAAAGTACTGAAAGGCCCATGAGTTGTCCATCAACATTTATTTAAATTACCGAGAATTAGAAATAATTCTATGGAAAAAGTGACAGTAAAGCACTTGTTAAAATCAGTAAAAAAAGAAAAAAAAAAGTATAACCTGGGATAAGTGGCTGACTGAAACAGTTCATATATAAATTGATAATGTGAGGATTAAAGTTGAATGTGATGGCTTAAGCATCAACTTCATTGGGCTAAGGAATGCCCACATAGAAGGTAAAACATTTTGGGTGTGTCTGTGAGGGTGTTTCTGAAGAGATTAACATTTGCATCAGTAGACTGAATAAAGAAGTTCCATCCTTACCATCTCACAATAGACTGGCATCATCCAATCTATTGAAGGCTCAAATAGATCAAAAAGGTGGAGAAAGAACAAATAACCTCTCTCTTATCTAGGACATTCATCTTTTCCTACGCTCAGATTTTGGAACTCCTGGTTCTCAGGCCCTCAGTCTTGGACTGAATTACAACCCTGGTGTTTCTAGTTCTCCAGCTTATAGATGGCAGGTTGTGGGATTTCTGGGCCTTCATAACACATGAGCCAATTCCTTTATCCCTCATTGGTCCTACTTCTCTAGATAATCCTGACTAATACTCTGAGGATCTGGCTGTGTGAGGATAAAACTATAAAAGTGGCAATGTGAATCACAGAGGTTACCTATGGGCAAAGAAAAACTGCACTCGACAAGATGAGTAAACAGAAATTGATTTTATTATGATACTATTAGCAGCAATAGGAGGGAGAGCAGAAAAGGGATAAGAGATCCAAGAGCTGAGGTGGAGAGATTCTGGCCATCTGTGCTAATTAATTGGTTTTACTAAAAGGAAAAGTAAAATTTGTTTTATGAGAGGAGGTGATTTTACCACTTGGATCAAGGCACCCACCAAAGTTTGGCTCCTACTTTACCATGGAGACAGGGAACCCGTCTTCCTTCAAGTTTACCCTTCAAAATAATGGCCCCTAGTACTTTGAGAAAGACAATTCTGGATAGTAAATCTGGCAAGAGGTTTTTACATCACAAAGGCCAGAAACAGTTTGCAATTACAAGTTTTCTAAAGTAAATGATTTAAGAAAAGAGAAAACTTATCCAAAATTTTGTCAAGATGAGGGGAATGTTAAAGACCTCTTGATCACTGCTCCATTTTCATGCCTAAATACATCCATGTGTTACCATAGGGCAAAAGCAACAGAGGCTGAATAGGAAACAGAGTCCCTGTGGAATCTAGATTTTTTTAAAAAACGAAAACAATCAATGAAATATAAGAGGTTGAGGATTGGTATGGTTTGGATGTGGTTTGTTTCCACCAAACTCATGCTGAAATTTAATTGCCAGTATGATCGTGTTGGGAGGTGGGGCCTAGTGGGAAGTGTTGGGTTATGAAGGCAGATGCCTTAGAAACAGATTAATAGATTAATGCCATCTTGTGGGAGTGGGTGGGTTGTCACTCCTACTCTGATAGACTGGATTAGTTAATACAAGATAGGTTGTTATAAAGGGAGCCAGCCTGCTGTATTTGGACTCTGCATGTGCTCACGTCTGCTTCTCTGCCCTGTTATAACCAAGCTGGAGTCCCTCACCTGATCTTGAGCTTCTCGGTCTTCAGAACCATGTGCTAAATAAACCCCTCTTTTCTTTATAAATTACCCAGTCTCAAGTATTCTGTTATAGCAACAACAATACAAAATACACGTTAAGATATGGATACTGAAAATTTTGCTGCTGATGAACCATGAAATTCAGAGAGCCCAGCGAAAAGGATCAGGACAGAGGAATGATAACTGGTAGTGAGAAATAAGAGGTGGTAAAGGGGGGGGGGTGGAGTATAGGAAATAATAGCTGATTCAAGAGTCTGAGGCCTCCTGTGGAACTGAGAGGTAAGAGATACGAGACTGGGTAATGACTTATATATCTGTAAATAAGGCATCATGAGATCAACCCTGGCAAATACAAGGCAAATAGAGGTGATAAGGATGTAATTGATGGGATATAGGGGAGAATATGTTTCTGGGGTCCATGCTGATGCCTAGTGATGGGGTTAAGGATACTGGCAAACTATATATTGCCCAAATGTGGAACCCAATCGTCCCCTGTAGATGTAAGACAGAAAGTTTGCAACACTGTGGTTTTAATATTTGTGCCAGGGGCTGTATCATAACCACTGTAAGGGGGAAGACAGGCCTTCTGTAATCGAGTGAGCTGTCCTTCGACTTCTCTTGAGGATGTGTGAATGACTGAGTAAACTGGGATGAAGCCAGATTATTTTCATTGAGAAGAAAGAAGCCAAGAGATTAAAGTGCTGTGATTGTTCCTGAATTCAACTAAAACCATTATTTATATTTCATATACTGGATTGCTAAAGTTTAATTAGAACAAAAGATGCTCTTCTAATTACTTTGCATTTTATAAAACTTCTTTATCAGTGAATAAATTGAAAATCAGATAAACCAAGCTTATTCCCAAAATACATGAAGCAAGTTAGAGGTTGAATAGAGAGAGAAAAGTTTATCCAATAACTAGTAAATATGTTTTCAACCACTATTTATGCTTAATATGCCGAGCATCCTGTGCAGTCTAAAAATACAAGGGAAATGAGACATTCTTGTTTCTCAGCTCATGGAGTTATGGGCATATGAATGAACACGTCAGTGAGGTTTAAATTATAGCCTGATACCCAGTGCTTATTGATCCTAATTTATTAGAAATAGTTGTCTACAAATTGTGCATAAAACAATCTGTAGATATTTAATAGTATTTTTTAAGAGAAATGTTATTGTAACTAAAGGTTATTACCCTAGTCAAGAATGAAACATCTTACGTATCGGCAAACTATGTAATAAAGACAAATATTTAATAACCATAGATTATCGTTATTTTAATAAACTAGTAAAATTAATTTAGCTCCAAATAAAAGAAAGAAAGAAAAAGTATAGTGTCAGCACAATAAAACAAGTGGGCTGAAAGTGCAATTATTGTATGTGTAGTCTGTATATGGTCACATAAATTTCATTTACAAAAATGTATTTACCTATAATAAAAATTTGAAAGTGATATGAAGATAAATTTAATGACCTATTAAAAAGTTAACCATGGATATACATCAACCACCATGATAAACAATAACAGCCAAACTTTCAAAGGACAAAATATTCAAAATTAAGTAATTGAAAATAAATTATACACACACACACACACACACACACACACACACGTATTCCGCTGGGTAAAATAGTGTGCAATGATAAAAGTTGTTCTTAAGGCATTACTAAGTCAGATATGGTAGTTTACTAAACATCTATGATTTCATCTGGGAAGTATGAAAAAGGCATATAAATAATGTTCGTGTATTTGTGAGGGAATCATTCACAAATTGTGAATCTAAATATAATTAAAATGTAAATACACATGTCCTTTCAGGGAACTGAGTATGTGCAAGAGCTATGCCAGGTGTCTTGGTCTACATTTTGTTGCTATAACACGATACCTGAGACTGGGTAATTCATAAAAGAAAGAGGATTATTTAGCTCAAATTCTGCTGGCTGGAAGGTCTAAGACCTGGCAGCCTTACCTGGTTGGCTTCTGGTGAGAGCCTTATGCTGGGTCATAATGCTGTAGAGAAGCTCATGAGGAAGCAGGCAGGTGCAAGGAGAACAACTAGGAGAGGCAGCCTCACTTTATAATAAACTGCTCTCCTAGTGACTAACTCAGTCCCACCAGAGAGAAAACTCATTCCCATGAAAAAGGCATTAATCTACCTTAATGATCTAATCACCTCTTAAAGGAACCACCTGCCAGTTTTGCCACACTGGGGACCATGAGTTTTGGTGATGCCAAATTGTATTCAAACTATTGCACTAGGTAAATATAATGCACTGCATTGAGCAATAATTTTACTTTTATAAAATGTGAAGACGATGTTAATAATATGCAACTTTACTTGCTGGAGTAGAATTGTGAATCAAAACAATTTTAATTTTTCTTAAACAATAGCTTATTGAACAAAGCTTTTGAAAATTTTGCTGTATAAATGTGATTCACTGATAAGTATTTTTGAAGAATTTTCTTCTTCATTTCACTTTTATGTGCTACTCCTAAAACTGCAAATTAAATTCAAAGTGGCAAAGCCTGAAGCCATATTTTCAGGTAAATACATATTTTTATCAATTTCAAACTATTTCATTGTTTCATTTTTTCTCAAACATTTTTCCACTGGCCTATATTTTGGCTTATATTTTGATAAAATTTGGACAAGAAGTCTCTTCTTCTGAATCAAGAGTTTTGATATAAACAGAGTTTATATTTATGAAGGTATTAATCATAGAAACAGCAAATGTAGATACTTGCTAATCTTACAATTTTATAAGTGTTTAAAGTGAAAATATTTTATGCCACACTTTTTTAGCATGGATGATTTAATCCAAAGACTCAGTATGGTATATATTAGTGATAAACAATTAATAAATAAATGTCAGAGAACTATTTTATTATTGCTTTCTTTTCATAAGTTATGAATGGTGAAAAATATACTTTAGATTCTTTAATGTGACTCTTTAATATCATGTGAATCAAATTCTAAGTTTAAAAATAATTTTTATTATTAATATAACTACTTTTTAATAAAATTTTATTTTTGTAATAGATGGGGTCTCATTATGTTGCCCAGGCTGTCCTCAAACTCTTGGGCTCAAAAAATCCTCCCATTTCAGCCTCCTGAGTAACTGGGACTATAGGCACATGCTATCATAACCAGCCTTAATGAATATAAATACATTTATTAGTCATCTTAAGCAGAGTGGTTATAAAGACTGAGAATAAATTTATTTTGGGGGTCAGTATTTCTGTTTTTCTTCTGATAATTCAATTTTGCATTCAATTATGATGCAATGTGATTTAACATTAAAAGTTAATACAAGTAAACTTTATAAAATTATTAATATCAGGACAATAATAACTTAGGATTATACATTTTAAAACAATGATAATGTATAAGGAAAGAGGTGTCTTACTTAATGTTATTATAGTTATTTTATGTTCAATATAAGTATAATAACAAATTTACACAAATCCTATCATTGAGATTTACTCATGATTTGAGTTAGAGCATATGTTATCTTACTTTTGTTTATTATCTAATAGTTCTTGATTTTTAAGATGATTTTAAGGCTTCTTAATGCAATTTCAAATAAACACATAACAAAACTTATATGTGCAAGGCATACTTGAAAGTTGTGTTTTCATAGTTAAAGCAATGTGTGTATTGAGATTTAGGATTGACTTTTCTTAAGAATGTATTAATTCGTTTTCACACTACTATAAAGAAATACCTGAGACTGGGTAATTTATAAAGAAAAGAGATTTTTGGCTCTTTGTTCCACAGGCTGTAAAGGAAGCATGGCTGGAGAGGCCTTGAGAAACTTTCAGTCATAATGAAAAGGGAAGCAGGCACGTCTTATGTGGCCAGAGCAGGAGGAAGAGAGTGAAGGAGGAAGTGCCACACACTTTTAAACAACCAAATCTCGTGAGAACTCACTCTCACAAGAACAGCAAAGAGGAAATCTGCCCTCATGATCCAGTCAGCTCCCACCATGACCCTCCTTCAACTTTGGGGATTAAAATTCGGCATGAGATTTGAGCAGGGACACAAATCCAAACCATATCAGAGAAAGAAAAGTATTATAGGATTATTAACTATATTTTTGCCATTCATACGCAATTATTTTTTGTTCCGTTTTATGAGTAAGAACAGTTGGCATACTTAAAAAAATTCATTTTTTCTATGAACAGACATTGCACTAAAGGCATAGTAATGTAGCCACAGTAACAACGACCTTCACACCCTAGTACAATTCTTACCTAGATTAACTCAAATGCTCACAATAAAGATCTATTAGACGGAATCATGGTCATAAGAGCTACTTAACTCATACCTACTGTCCTGAAAAGAATGCCTGGATTTAAGAAAAATTGCAAGGCTTATAAAATGATAAGGAAAACACACTTAAAAGAGACAAAGCAACCATCAAAACCATACTCAGTTATGACAAAGATATAGAAACTGACTAGTATTAATAATGTACTAAATTTTTTGAAATTATTTTGGAAAGGGTGAGCAATATGCAAGTGGATAATTTTATCAGAGATTACAATTATAACAAAGAATGAAAGGGAAATGCTAGACATGTTAAACAGTAAGAGGACTAGAAATATTTGTGATATGCTCATCTGTAAACATGACAAAATTCATAAAAGATTCACTGAACTTAGATCCATAGAAATTATTCAAACAGAAACATAAAGAGAAAAATTAGTGAAAAACTACCAAAAGAGACCATTCAAAAGTCATGCAACATTGTCAATCCATTTAATATACCTAATTTCTTGAAAGTAATGACACAAAACCACAAATACAAGATCAAGGAAAATGAGTCAAATGAATATACAAACTCTGGTACACTCATGTAATGAAATATTGCTTAGCAATAAATAGCATCGATCTATCAATTTTTGTAACATCAGAGTTGAATCATCTTGCAGTCTGATGTTTGAGGGCAGGAAGCATTCAGCACAGGAGAAAGATGGAGGCTGGAAGATTCAGGAAGCCTGCTCTTCCGCCTTCTCCTGCCTGCTTTATTTTAGCTATACTGGCAGCTGATTAAGGGTACCCACTCAGATTGAAGGTGGGTCCGCCTGTCCTAGTCCACTGACTCAAATGTTAATCTCCTTTGGCAACACCTTCATAGACACAATGAGGAACAACACTTTGCATCCTTCAATCCAATCAAGTTGACAATATTAACCATTACAAATCATATATGCATTGTCCTAAGTGAAAGAAGTCAGACTCAGAAGACAACATACTATGTGATTCCTTTATATGAAATGTGAGTAAAAACAAAACAATGGGTATTGAAAAGAAATCTGTTCTTGCCAGGGTCTGGGGAGGAGGGGAGATGGATTTACCATGGAGGGGTATAGCAAAGGAATTTTATGGGTAATATTACATTTCATATGGAATTATAGTTGTGAATATGCAACTAATTTCATTTTTCAAAATCCACAGAAGTGTACTCTACAAAGTGTGAATTTTACTGAATGGAGCATTTAAAAAGATTTATCAGGATGTGGGAAGAAAGAGGAAATGTAGACTGTGATAAATGAATCTAACTCTATTAAAAATAAATCATATAACTACTGAAAGGGATAGGAAAAAAGGAGCTGGCTTGAGTAAATTTTGAAAACAACTTTTCAACTAAATGTTGTAAGGCCAAAGACAACAAAATGAAAAAATTCGTTCTATACACATTGTACTTCATTGGGCAATTTAGTATTCCTCACAGGGATATGCATTAGCGGTTCTGAATCTATACTATTTATATTCCAGGCTTGAAGAAAAAGTTAAATATATTTTAGAAAATAGAAGTCACTGCTGAAGAAAGAGAAAAAAAACATCAGAAAATGGGGAAATACTAGAATAAAGTCTGTGGTGGTAATGGATTGGAGTCAGAAATATCAGTATGAGCAAATGTTATTTTATGTGCATATGTGTATATGTATATATTTAACATTTAACCTGTGTATACATACATATTTAACGTGTGTATCTATATATATATATAACATTCACATACACATATACACTAACATATACATACACATACAGATCAAAGGACATAAATTAATAGGTGACTTAATATATATATTAATATATATTATATACTATATATATATTATATATATATAATATATATATAAATGACTTAATATACATCCACACATTTCCCAGCTTGATCCTTGAGAGGGACTAGAAGCAATGACAGGTCAGTAGCAAAGAACACACCTAGAGTCCAGATGTTGGTTCTTAAAAGTCATTCCTCAGTGAAAAATTCCAAGTTCCTTAGGGGGTCTGATTGATTCCAGGCATGAGGCAGAAAAATACAAAATAATCTTGGAGCAAACGTAGCAATGGAGTGCTAAAAAAGTTAATCATACTTAACCTGGATATCCTCAAAATATGAAACTATGCACATATAAATAAATACTGGATGCAAAAATACATGGAGGAGAAGTAATAACTCTTCCTTACAAAATAATTCTGGTTCATAAATGTAGAATAAAATGCAAAACTACAATTAGAATAACCCAGGAATAATTGCTGCAGGCAAGATCTAATTATGGATGTTAAATTTAGGAGATGACTGTTTAAGCAGAAACAGCGTATTTGCATAGTCTCAAAATATCTCCCCCTTACATTTAATAAATTCCAAGGGGATAAAAAAAACAGTAATTTTATATCCTAGCAGATGCCATGCTAAGCAAGAGATGGATAACAACATTAATAATACATACAGGCATACCATGAAGAAACCATGGATTTGATTCCAAACCACAACAAAAAAGTGAATATCATGAAAGAACAAATCACACGTTTTGTGGTTTCTCAGTGCATATGTAAGTTATGTTTACACTATATTGTAGTCTATTATGTGTGCAATAGCATTATTTCTAAACAGACAATGTACTTGCATTAATTAAAAAGTACTTTATTGCTAAAATTGCTAACAATTATCTGAGCCTTCAGCGAGTTATAATCATTTTGCTGGTTGGGGATCTTGCCTCGATGTTGATGGCTACTGATCAGGGTGGTGGTTGCTGAAGGTGACATTGACAATTTTTAAAAATAAGATGATAAATTTTGCCACATCAGTTGACTATTCCTTCGATGAAAGATTACTTTATAGCATGTGATGCTCTTTGATAGCATTTTCCCAACAGTAGAACTTTCAAAATTGGTGTCAATCCTCTTAAATTCTGCCGCTGCCTTATCGATAAGTTTGTGTAATATTCTAAGTCCTTTGTTGTCATTTCAACAATGTTCACAGCATCTTCATCAGAAGTAGATTTCATCTCAAGAAAACACTTTCTTTGCTCATTCATAAAAAGCAACTTCTCATCCATTCAAGTTGTATCATGAGATTGCACCAATCAAGCTACATCTTCACGCTCCACTTCTAATCTTAGTTCTCTTGAAATTTCTACCACATCTGCGGTTCCTTCTGCCACTGAGCCTTGAACACCTCAATGTCAGCCATGAAAGTTAATCAACTTCTGCCAAATCCTTGTTAATGTTGATATTTTTATCTCCTCCCATGAATTATGAATAATCTTAATGACATCTAGAATGGTGAATCCTTTTCAGAAGGTTTTCAATTTATTTTGTTCAGATCCATCAGAGGGATCATTATCTTTGGCAGCTGTACCTTACAAAATGTATTTCTTATATGAGAATGAAAGCTGAAATTACTTCTTGATCCATGGGCTGCAGAATGGATGCTGCACTAGGAGCCTTGAGAAACAACATTAATCTCCTTGTACACCTCCCTCTGAGTTCCTGGATGATTTAGGTGTATTGTCAATGAGAAGTAATATGTTGAAAGTAATCTTTTTTTCTGAGCATTAGGTCTACACAGTAGGCTTAAAATATTCAGTAAACCATGCTGGAAACAAATGTGCTGTCATCTAGACTTTATCATTTTATTTGTAGAGCACAAGCAGACTAGATTTAGCATAATTCTTAAAAGCGCTAGGATATTTAGAATGGTAAATGAGTATTGGTTTCAACTCAAATTCCCCAGCTGCATTAGCCCCTAACAAGAGCTGCATTAGCCTGTCCTTTGAAGCTTTGAAGCCAAGCATTGACTTCTCCTCTTCAGCTATGAAAGGCCTAGATGCCATCTTCTTCCCATAGAAGGCTGTTTTGTTTACACTGAAAATCTGTTGTTTAGTGTAGACACCTTGATCAGTTAAGTGTAGACACCTTGATCAGTTATCTTAGTTAGATCTTCTGGACAACTTGTTGCAGCTTTTCCATCAGCGCTTACTGCTTCTTCCTGCACGGTAATGTTGTGGAGATGACTTCTTTTCTGAAAGCTCATGAACCAACTTCTGTTAGCTTCCAACTTTTCTTCTGTAGTTTCCTTGCCTCTCTCAGCATTCATAGAATTGAAGATAGTTAGTACCTTGTTCTTAATCACAAAGTCAAAGCCAAATTTGGGGCTTAGGCTTAATGAAATGTTGTGCTTTGTTTGATCTTTTATTCAGGCTGCTGAAACTTTCCCCATATCAACAATAAAACTGTTTCTTATTATCTATGTGTTCACTGGAGTATTACTTTTAATTTCCTTAAATAACTTTTCCTCTGCACTTAAAACTTTTCTAACTGGCACAAGAAGTCTAGCTTTTGGCCTACCTCAGGTTTCAACATGCCATCCTCACTAAGTTTAATCATTTCTAGCTTTTGATTTTAAGTGAAAGATATACAACTCTTCCATTCACTTGAACATTTAAAGGCCATTGTAGACTTATTAGTTGGCCTGATTTCACTATTGTTGTGTCTCAGGGAATAGGTAGAGCCAAGGAGGTGATGAGATGTGAGGGATCTGGGGGTCAGTTGAGTAGTCAAAACAAACATGATTTATTAATTTTATTGTTTTATATGGGCACAATTTGTGGTACCCCAAAATAATTACAATAGTAACATCAAAGATCACTTATCACAGATCAACATAACAAATATAATAATAATAAAACAGTTTGAAATATTTTGATAATTACCAAAATGTGACACAGAAATATGAAGTAAGCCAATGCTGTTGAAAAAATTGTGCCTATAGATTTGTGTGTGCAGGGTTGCCAGAAAACTTGAAAAAAAAACCCCACAATATCTGCAAAGCATGATAAAGCAAAGCACAAGAAAACACAGTGTGCCTGTACAGACATAAGGTATCCCCTGGTCTGAGGCAATGAAAAAAAGGAGAGATAACCTCCATAGTATTCTTACTGATAGTGTATACCATCAATTTAATACAAAGAAAACATTCAGACAAATTCAAACTGAAAGATATTCTATAACTGTCTAGTGTATTTCAAATGTGTGAAGGTCAGGTAAGATAAAATACTGGGGACTGTCAAGATTGGAGAAAACTAAGAAAATTAAATGCAAAGTGTGATTCTGGATTGTATACTAGCACAGAAAAGTATATAATGGAAAAAACACTGGTGAGCTTACAATAAATTCTCTAATTTATTTTATAGTACTATACCAAGAGAAATATCTAAATTTTATGTTGTTATTTCATAAATATCTAGCATGGAACACGTGGGCCTTTGAAGGGTTATATATTCTTATTCTTTTTTCTAAGATTAAAAATACTCTCTGCCATATATTAATAATCAGGTTTCTTAATCTTGCAGACATACACTGTTCTGAAACAGAGCTGTTTCTTTTGGGATAGGCTAAATTTCAATAATTTTTCTGTTGATATGAAAGGTGACAATATAAGAGAAGTTGAATAAAGGTAGATGGAGACTGTCTATGCCAGATTTACAACTGTGTCTAAAAATTATCTCAATATAAAGCGTTTTCAAATGCTTAGTTTTATATTCATCAAAAATATATAAATCTCATTGAACAGGTCAACAGAAACCTAAATGAACAGTTAGTCAAATTAATGATAAATGATAACAATATTACTAAAAATAATAAAACCTAAGGTATAATGATACACAAAATAACAGATTTGAGTAAATAACTGGATTTAAGGAATGAAAAAAACAAAAGAAAACAAAAACCTTTAATAGGCATAGATACTTTGCCAGACATTAAACTGTTTTTCTTTTTTTTTTTTAACTTAAAAGAAAGTGCTGAGTTGTGATAAGTAGATAGCAGTCATTTATTTGGGGAAGATACTATTTAGCGATAACTCCAAACAAACTACCATTTTAAGTATGAAAAAAAGATAAGATATAATGTAAAATTTATTGAGAACAAAAATCTTAATGCTGATTCACAGTGCAGACAGAAATATTTCACTTACAAGGAATCAAAAATTAAGGAAGGAGAAACAACAAAGATGTAAAACTACATCCAGGAATGGTAAATCAAAGTTTCAAATTCATTGCATTGTGAATTCAAAGTATCAAATTGTTTCCCTGTTCCCAGAAAATAGATTATCACCACTTGCTTACAAACACTGATGGATCTGTTTCAGTTTTGAACAAACACTTGGAGTGCAGTTCAATGTACTGTGCAATGTGAAAAGTTAGAAAGCATGATTTGCCATAATGCAACAGCAATTGACAAGAAAAATGTTGAGTGTACTTATTGACATTTTATTTGGTTTAATTTTTAAAAAGGTACCTGCATAGAACTGGACAAAATCTCTTATACAGTGCTAACAGGTGGGCTGTTCTTGTAGGATAGTTGTTTGTTATTGCCTGGAAACAGAATACTAGATACGTAAACAGTCTAGAAATAAAGGGAATCTATCTAAAACCTATACTATAAGTAAAGTGGCTTCACAATTATCAGAGTTTTAGTTTCCGTTGTGAAAAGACTGCAAGCAAGAAATAAATCTAATTAAAATAGAAAAATTATAGCTGACCTAGCAAATTTTTCCATCATTTGTAGAATAACACAAAAAAGTTGGGCTTATCTTTTATGAAAGCATCAAAAAGTCAATGTCAGAATGTATTCTTAAAGTGACACCAGGACACCTGTCCGAATAAAGGGGAAATGATGAGAGTAACATGACTGTGTCTGGTGTTGTCTTGCTTTACTTCTGTTACTTTTGTCCCCTATTTTGTTTATAATCGATTTGTATCAATTGCAATGGTTAGTTCAACAAAATGGGGAAAAATCAATTACAATGGTTAGTTCGTTAAATGAGTCATTTCAAATTTCATTCATTCAAATATCTCAGTATCTAAAGAACACCTGATACTTAGGAAATAGCTAATAAAAAATGTTAAATAAAGGTCAGTTCACTTTTTGGGCATATTTATTTTATACTAACCTTGCTTGAACATTAAAATATTGATTGTAAATTGTCTGTCTAAAATCCAGTGTTGATGCTATCAATGGCTAAAGCTTCTTGTTCCTGCTACTACTATTACTTTGTTTGTATAAATTCCTCCTTTTTGAGTTCCATTTGTGGGCATAAAGCTTTGAAGGCTAATACATTGAAGAAATATATTTTTTAAAAATAGGAAATACAGAACTGATAGTGTTCAGTAAAAATTGGAAAAATCTCAGTTTTAACTTGTCACCCTAACAGCTGTTCAGAGAGATGTAACTAGGAAATTGTTTACTATTTATGCAAATGTTTTGTATACAGCACTTGCAAGAAAGAATTTCAAGATTTTCTAATATCTGAAGTCCAAATTTGAGCACTATTAGTAGGAGTCTGAGCAGATGACAACTGCACCTAGTCTTAATAAAACCAGCAAGAGACTCTGCTTATTTTTATTTTTTGTCTTTTGTATATTTGTTTATTTATTTATTCTCATTAGTGCCTTTTGTATCTTTTACTTTTAACTTTAATTGGCAAATAAAAATTGTACATATTTGTGGGGTACATAGTGATGTTCTGATATAAAATATATAGTGGGTGGATGAGTTGAAAAAGTGTGTTAATGCATCTGCCATGTTGAATTTAACAATGGGTGATTCATGCCTTGCCCTTAAATTTGTGTCTGTTTCACAGATATTTTAAAATATCATCTTAGAGTCTGGGTGTGGTGGCTCACACCTGTAATTCCGGCACGTTGGGAGGCCCAAATGGGTGGATAGCTTGAGCTCAGGAGTTCAAGACCAGCTTGGACAACATAGTGAGAACTCATCTCTACCAAAAATACAAGAATTAGCCAAGCATGGTGACACATGCCTGTGGTCCCAGCTACTTGGAAGGCTGAGGTAGGAGGGTCACTGGAGCCTGAGAAGTTGAGGCTACAGTCAGCTGCGATTGTGCTACACTGCACTCCAACCTGGATGACAGAGCAAGAACCGATCTCAATTTAAAAATAAAAAATAAAACAAAATATCATCTTGGAGCACCATTTTTATAGAATAAATGGGGAGAATTTTTATAATAAAATTAACTAAAATATATTGTGGAGTCAAGTGTAAAAGCTTATGCATTTTCTTTTTATTTAAACCGTGTGCTCTAAAAGCTACTTTCAGCATGCTGCATTGGGCTAATCAAATCCTCCAAAGTTATGAGTTCATTATTCGTTGCACTTAAAAGCCATGGCTAAAAATAAGTGCAAAGAGCAATTCTAGAATAACACTGAGATTTAGCAGTCTTTTATGTCACATTCTAAATAAATATTAGATTTTATTTTCAGATTTTATATTCTAACAGCACTGAGCATTTTATGGATTTTTTTTTAATTAAAAGTGAGATGAACACTTGCATGTTGAAAAATAATATCCAATGCCAATTTTAGTTACTTCACAATTTTGTTTATGCCTAATTCGGAACAGCAATAGCCACTTTGAATGTTAAAATGATTAAAGACAAAATTAGTTATCTGTAGTTGATCTTTTATCAGATGACTAATTTAAAAGATGAAACTTTTAAATTATGTATTATATATTCTGAATTACTTCAAAATGTAAGTTTGGTAGCAAAAATTAAATCCACAAAGAATGACATTCTGTTCTTGAATGCCCTATGCATTTCTTTATTTCTAAACAATTGGATATGCTGTTACATCTTGTCTATTTTACCCTATCATGTGAGAGTACACCTCTCATTTTTCAATTGATACACTATATTTTACATATTGTGGTATACATGTGAGTATTCTGAGGTATCCATTACCTCAAGTATTTATCATTTTTATGTGTTGGGTACCCTTCATGTCCTCTCTTCTAGCTACTTTGAAATACATAATGTATTGTTGCTGACCATACTCACCCTACTCTACTTTCAAACATAAGAACTTACTTAACTTCAATCTAGCTGTACATTTGGATCCATCACCTAAGCTCTCTTCATTTCCCATACTATACACACATCTTTCCCAGCCTCTGGTATCTATTAATATTATTCTATTCTCTACCTCCATTCGATGAAATTTCTTAGCTCCCACTTACGATTTAGAACATGTAAAATACTTTTCTCTGCCTGGTGTATTTCACTTAACATAATGACCTCCAGGGCCATCCTCCAGTGCCATCAATATTGCTACAAATGACATAATTTCATTCATATCACTAAATAATATTTAATTACATATATATATGACATTTTATTTCTTCATTTGTTGATGGACACTTAGGTTGATTCCATATCTCAGTTATTGACAATAGTGCTGCAATAAACATGTAAGTCCAAGTAACCCTTTAATATACTGATTTCTTTTCCTTTGAATGAATATCCAGTAGTGAGATTGCTGGTTAATATGCTAGTCGTATTTTTAGTTCTTTTTTTTTTTTAAGTCTCCACACTGTTTTGCATAGTTACTGTACTAATTTACATCCCCACCAAGATTATATGAGTTCCTTTTTTCCATATCCTAACCAGTATCTATTATTTTTTTTCTGTTTTTACTAATAGCCATTTCAATTTGTTTAAGAGGATATCTCATTATAGTTTTGATTTGCATTTCCCTGATGATTAATGATGTTGAGCATTTTTTCATATACCTATTGGAAATTTGCATGACTTCTTTTGAGAATTTTCTATTCTTGTCCTTTGTAAACTTTTTAGTGGGATTATTTTTTATTTATTTATTTTTTTACTGTTGAGTTATTTGAGTTCTTTGCATAGTCTGAATATTAGTCCCTTGAATAGTTTGCAAATATTTTCTCTCATTCAAAATGTTTTCTCTTCACTTTGTTGTTCCTTTGCTGTGCAGAAGCTTATTAATTTAAAATTGTCCCATTTGTCTATTTTTGGTTTTGTTCTCTGTGCTTTTGAGGTTTTGGCCACAAAATGTCTAGACATGTGTCCTGAAGTGTTTTCCCAATGTTTTCTTAATGTAGTTTTGTAGTTATGGGTCTAATATTAAAGTCATTCATCTGTATTGAGTTGACTTTTTAAATATGGTATGAGATAGGGGTCCACTTGCATTCTTCTGCATATGGATCTCCAGTTTTCCCAGCACCATTTATTGAGGAGGGTGTCCTTTCCCAGTGTATGTTATCAGTGCCTTTGTCAAAAATCATTTGGCTGTAACATATGAGTTTATTTCTGGATTCTTTATTCTGTTCAATTCGTGTACATGTCTGTTTTTATACCAGCACCATCTTGTTTTGGTCACTATGCCTTGTAACATATTTTGAAGTCAGGTACTGCGATGCCTCCAGCTTTGTTTTGTTGTGTTTTATTTTTAAATTCAGAATTGCTTTGACTATTTGGGCTCTTTCTTGGTTCCACATAAATTTTAGGATTTTTTTTTCTAATTCTATAAAAAATGATATTGATATTTTGATAAATATTGCATTGAGTCTGCAGATTTGTTTGGGCAGTATTGTCATTTTAGGGTATTCATTCTTTGGTTCTGATATGGTTTGGCTCTGTCCCCACCCAAATCTCATCTTGAATTGTAATCCCCATAATCCCTACATGTTGAGGGAGGGACCAGGGGATCATGGGGGCGGTTTCCCCAATGCAGTTCTCATGATAGTGAAGCAGTTCTCACAGTTTTATAAGCATGTCTTCTCCCTTCGCTCTCTCCCCTCCCTCCTGCTGTCATGTGAAGAAGGTACTTGCTTTCTCTTCACCTTCTGCCATGATTATAAGTTTCCTGAGGCCTCCCCAGACATGCAGAATTGTAAGTCAATTAAAACTCTTTTCTCTCTAAATTACCCAGTCTTGGGTATTTCTTTATAGCACTGTGAAAACAGACTAATACAGGTTCCATGAGCCTGGGATGAATTTCCATTTGTTTCTGTCCTCTTCAGTTTCTTTAATCAGTGTTTTGCAGTTTTCCTCATAGAGATCTATCTAGTCATATTATCTACGAGTCTGCTTAGTGCCTTATTTTACTATAGTTGAGCTTGCATTCAAGTTGCAAGACACAGTCCTCTTCACTTTTCTAGAGCTGTGAGCTGTGCTGCCTGGTATTGGGGAGGGGCGATGTCACCCCTTGGCCACCCCCGCTGGTGTTTCACTAGGTGATATGCACTCAAGTCCACTGGCTCCAAGCCCAGAATGGCACCAGGACTTGCCCAGGAATTGCAATCCTTGTGACCTAAACTGCCTTTCAAATTTATTTATGACCCCAGAACACTTTCGTCTGGGGTTTAAAATAAATTTGAAAGGCAGTTTAGGCCACAGGTGGGGCTAGCTGGAACTCAATTGCTGACCATTGGGATGGACAATTCACCTCCCTCCATGGGCCCAGGCTCAATTCTGCTCTATGTTGATTTCCACTGTGACAGGGCAGCATTGGATTCTAATGCAAAGTCTGATAATCACTGTGCTCTCCTTCCCCCAAGCAAACAGATTCTTTGTGCCATATGGCCACTGCTGGGGGGGTGAAGGAGGGGCACTGTAGGCAATGCAGGACTGACTTTCCTACCTTCTTCAGTGTCTCTTTCCTTTATATGATGTTATACCAGGTACTATGATTACTGACTTGATTTTTGGTTTTTATGAAGGTGCTATCTTGTGTGCATAGTGGTTCAGATTGGTCTTCTTGCAGGAGGGATGATCACTGGAAGGTCCTATTTTGGCATTTTGGTCTGCCACCTCTAAAATCAGTGTTTTAAATTTTTTCTGGGTTGTAATCCTTTTAATCCTTTTATTGTTCCGATCCATTGCTGAAGAATTATTGTGTCCCTTTGGAGGTGTCATATTTCCTTGCTGTTTTATATTTTATGTGTCCTTATGTTGATATCTGCAAATATGGTGTAACAGTTGCTTTTTCTGATTTTTTTGGAGTGGCTTTAGTATGGGAGGACTTTTGGGGGGGATATATCTATGGAGTTGGTTGGGTAGGGTTCTGCACTTGTGCAGTCATGTAGTCTCTATATTATTTCTTTGACTATAAATCAGCATCAGTGGTATCTGTATTATCCTCAGTGACTGAAGGTGTGGTTATTAGTGGAGGCTGTGGTGAAGTTTTGCTGGGGACAGGGATAAATTGTATCCCAGTCTTTGGGCCCCATGGTGGCATCTGTGGGATGAGCATGCCTGTTCTTGGGCACCAGAGCAATGTACACTGGCACTGGTATAAGTTGGTCCAGGTTGGTCAATACTTCGGCTTCCAGGTGGCTTGCTTGGAAGCTAGTAGTGGCAGTTGTGGGCCACGGGTGTGGGAGGGTTCTTCGGCTCCTGGGCAGCAGGCCTGGTGTGGAAGATGATGATAGCTATATTGGGACAATCCTCTCGGTTCTGAGCAGTGAAGGCTGGTGTTGGTGATATTTGTATTGAGCTGAGCTGACCAGTCTCCAGGCCTACATGTGGTACAGGCAGGTAGGTGCCAGCTGTGGTGGTAGCAGTAGGGTAAGGGAGGCCCAACCTCAGGCTTCCAGGAGGAGTGCTCAGGTGCCAATGGTGGTGGACAGGGGTTTGGCAATTACCAGGTCCCTGGACATCATGCTCCTGCATGAGGGTTGTGAAGCCAGGCTGCGCAGGCTTGTCCTTAGGTCCCCTGAAGGTGTGTGTAGGTACTGGATGTCGTAGGCAGGGCTGAAATTATCTGCAGGACCCTGGCAGAATGCTTGGGTGGAGAGTAGCAGTGGGTACACTGAGGTCCTGCTACTGAAGATGGTGGGCAGCAGTCAGTGGCAGGCAGGTGGGGAAGGTGCGCTTCACTTGCACTCTAGCCCCAGTGGCAGCAGCCTGCAGTGATGGCAGCCATGGGTGGGGAACTCTGTGTGGGCTCATGAAAATGAATTGTGGCTCTGCTGCTCAAGGAGGCAAGTTTGCTGCCAACACCCCATTCTTCCACCCTTGTGACAGCAGCCAGCCATGGTGGTGGCTGCAGGCAAGGGAACTCAGTGGGGCCCCAGGAATGTGGAGCTGCAGGTGTGGTTAGGCCCCAGTGTAAGGTGCTGTCTGTTCATGGTTGGGTTCTCAAAATAGTGCCTTTTTGGAGCTTCTTAGGACTTGGGGCATGAGTGGGACTCAATGTCAGCTTTCTCTCTGGAGAAGTGCCATCGTACAGTCTCAGGCAGCTCCCTATTTTAGAACCTGCAAAGTTTGAGAGGCTCTACCATGGCTAAGATTGCAGTAGTCTGTTCTCTCACTTACCTTTCCTCCACAGTGGGGAGTTTCTCTAGGCTCCAGCCCATCCCAGCCAAACAGGTTTCCAGGCTTCTCCCTCCTTCCTTGCTTAGGTGTTTCCTATCACTTCTCTGTTGAATTTGCATGCTTTGTTTTGGATGATCCATTCAAATTGTGATTACTCATAATTTGCTTCTTCTTTGTAGAGGAGGCTAGTAGAGTTTTCTTTGGTTAGTCATCATGAAACCACTTCTCATTTTTTTTTTTTTACTGTACTAGCAGAGCATCCTCCTCATAAAGTTTATTTTAAAAATTTCCTTTTGTGTTCCCCTAGTACCTTAAATAAAATAAATTATGTTGTTAAATTTAGCTTGTATGAATAAGAGGTATTACTCCAGGTTCTCTACAAAGCAGAGACCAAGAAAGCATTATGTATGTAAAAGATTTACTGGAAGAACTTTTGTGTATTGAGAAACCAGAGGAGGCTGGAAAACCATCGAACTACAATGTAGTACTAAACCCTTTGAAAGAGAAGAATGAAAGGAAGGGAAAACATAAATTCTCAGATTACAATGCAGTTCACTCTTAGAAGAATCTGGAAACTTACAGGACTGAGCCAACTTTCATATCACAGCCAAATGCAGTAATTGGTTAAGAATACTTCCTCCACAGGAAATAGTCTCCGAGCATAAGTAGTGACAGATTTAGACCTCAGCAGCTGGAGTCATGGGTTGCTTATGACCCTACTAGTAGGAGATCTGAGATATGCATTTTTACGACAGTTTTCCTGCTGTTTCACCCGGATCTACTTCTCCAGCAGATTTGTGTGAAGGCTTTTCTATTGTATCTGCAGGCCTTTCTTCCTGAGAGGAAAGTCAGAAGAGGAAAGTTAGTAGGATGAATTATAGGCCCAGGCTGCAGATGCCCCCAGGGCTCCAACTGGTTGGTACTCATTCCCCCACCCTGTTATACATTAAATTTTTTTCTCACTGTCAGCTAGTAACTTGGCAAGTCACACTGGCTTTTCTTGTGTGGCTGCTGAATGCTTAATAATCTTAAGCTTCTTGGTCTAGGTTTGCTGCATATGTTTATTCACAAACATAGTACAACACAGAATTACTATGAGAAACTCAAATGAATTAACTGGACATCACAAAGATTGTTTCCTCCCTAAAAGCAGCCCTATCTCTTCCTACTGATCAAGATCAATTATTCCTGCCAGTATAGTGACAATTCTTTTCACCTGGTAAACTTTGGGCACAAGGAGTCTGAACTTCCCTGGTAGTCATAAATGGTAGTCCATTGGGACACTTGCTGCTTCTAGTCACCAAAATACACCAGCTTTGAGGAACAGGACCTTCAAGCTGATGAACCCAGATTTGCAGAGATGGGAAGCAAATCCTTCATTAAATCAATAGGAAGTGTAGTAAGTGGAGTTACTCGTTTTTCTCCTCCTTGGTTTCAAGACCTTCTGTTCTTTCTAATGATGAACAACTTTTTTCTTCCTATGAAATACCACATCCTTTTTGATTATTGTCTTACACCTGAGACTTGAGGAGGGTGCATTTAGAAGCTCTTCCAACACCTTGTGATACCAGCTGCTTATGGATGGGTCTGTGTGTGATACAATGATTGAAGCCCATGGGTTTGGGCTTTGCCCCTCACATCCTTCACTGTCAAGAGGGTTTCCTGATCAGAAGCTACGCTGTGTATCAGGCATACCATAAGCACCAGTGAAGGATTTTGGCTCAGACTCAAGGGTGGCAAAGCAGACTTATAACCAGAATGGGTATCCACGACCTTCGTGGAAGGGAGAAGCTCAATATAGTCAATTTACCACCAAGTGTCCTTTAGGTTCCTTTAAGGGATATTCATATTAAAGGTTGACAAGTTGGTCTTTCAGAGGCAGGAGTAGCTAGATCAGCTATTATAATTAAGCGTCTAAGCTCTTAGATCCACATGTAGTCTCCAACTTTGCCACTCCATTCTGTGACAATTCAGGCAGTTTTCATGTGACTGATAATAAAGCATGATGTTAACCAAATTTTATGGGAGGTCATTGTCTTGAACTGCCTTCCTGCACTAGGCCTCAGTAGACCAGACCAAACCAGAATGGAGTCACTCCTGATAAGTGCCACTTAATCAAACTGAACTTTGAAATGGGCAAAATTTCAAGAAGAAAAACAAGCAAGATTCCAGTCAATTCAATTTAGCATAATAAGGAAGTCCCCTCGTTTTAATTCTGTAAGGAAAGTAACCCTGGAACAAGCAATTCACTTTCCATTCATTATTTCTTTCTTCAGTCTTTTTCTGCCTATGAAGCCATCCTTTTCTGCTCAGCTCAGGGAAGCTCTTATTCTACAGAATAGAATGCTACCCCAATTCATGAATCATGAAAGAAAGCCAGTTATATCATTAACTAAATGTATTGTAGTCTTGTCCTTTGACACTGGCTAACACCAACTGGCAGATGACTGACCTGGGACTTTGTGCCAAGAATGATTCGAGCCTCACCTTCCAACAGAGATGGCATCCTCTCACCCGCCAGCAAGGGGGTGGGTCAGTCATAAATCCCCATCTTACTGCTGCATTTCTCAGGCTATTCTTGGCATCACTTGTGTTAGCTTGGTAACACAATAATCCAACATCAAGATGACATTAGACATTCTAGAGGATCAAACAACTTACTGCTGGTAAATACCTTGAGAGAATTTTCTCAACAAGGAAGACAGGCTGTTGGGAAAGGTAGTTTGTGGGGTCTTTCCACCCCCAGTTGACTGCATAAAAATGGGCCTTGATCCTAGAAATTTTTTATTGCAAAACATCAAAAGCCCAGATAGCCTCTGCAGGGCCTATTGTCTTATATGCAAGTATCTTTTCTTATAAGCTCAGGGTGCACTCCTTTGTTCCGTTTAAGCTCGTAAGTCAATGGTCCTCAGGAACATACCCAGTTTTTACTATTTCAGACTCCATGGAGGAGGGGTTGGGTTCTTCTGCTTCAGCCCGACAGGGGTGCGTGTAGGCCAATTGCCCATTCTCAGCCACCTGCCTGGGTGACCTGCCTGGGTGACGTGCTAGCCATAAGGGATCACAGCACTCTATTAAGCTTATCTTGTTCTGTTTCTTCTCTCTGTAAGTAAAGTGTGTTGTTCTACCCAGTGCTTGACCATGTTGCATTTTTCTTAGTGACTCCAGTTCCAAGATGCAATAGGAAGAAGTGTTTGGATCCTCCCCCTGGGATTGATAACTGCTGTGAAGTGTTCTGCTCCGGAGAGCATAAGGAAGTTGGGAGAGATGTCAAACAGCAATTCTATCCTGATCTCTGTGAAAAAAGGAGAAAGGAAATAAATTTTTCAATTGCAGTGCAGTATTAAGAAAATTTGGCAAGGCCAATGGAAATTCCTACAGGAAAAATCATCTGTCTGAGGATTCTCACAGCTCATAGGAATAGGCTAGCTTGAGAATCTCTGTCATACTCAGTTATCAGTTGGAACAACCATGAGAAGCATGTTCAGCACCACTATAGAGATGAATTAGACTGCAGCAGCTGGGAACATTATCCCTTTGCTTTCCTCACAGTAGTATATGCAAGACCACCAGAGTGGGCTAGCTCATTTGGGACCACCACACCTGGTGATGTCAACCAAACACAGAAAATTTATGTCGGAAAGCATAAGAATCTATCAAAGCACAAAGCGCTGTTAGGGCTAAGATCTCAGGAAAAAAATGAAGCAGAGAGGGGAGTCCAAACTTGAGTGCTGCTTTTGCCCTCAACACATCTGCTAATTTTAAGCAGCATTCTTCTCTTCCATGCACCCACCAGTTTTAAAGTAGCTCTTTTCTCCTCAGTGTACCGGGAAATTCTAAAGAAGCTGGGACAAGTCTGAGAATTTTAACAGAATTGACAATGAGATGCTGACAAACGGAAGAAAGGCTGATATTCGTGTAGGATCATGGGTGGGATATTTTGAATATCAGTACCTGTCAAGAAATGTTTGCCAAAAGCGGAAACCAATAGAACCTGGAATATGTTGGACAGCTGAATACAAAACATTTTAAAATGTGGAAAAAATGGACAATCCATAAATTACCACCCACACATTTATCTTTCTAAAACTGACATAATAAGAGATTGTGTGTGTGTGTGTGTGTGTGTGTGTGTACATCCACAATTTAAAATGTTCCCACAGACCAGAACAGTTTTCCTCACTGGTGAAATTTCCATACTCTTTGTAGGAAAAATTAAACACTGATCAAAGTCACCCATATTTTTAAAAGAAAAAGGAACATTTCCTAGCCCATATTTTAGGGCTGGTATAACCTTGAAAATTGAACCTAACAAGAATAGATTAAGTTGAAGAGTATATAGTGAATCCCTCTCCTGAATATAAATGCAAAAATTCTGAAGAAAAACAAGTAAACAAAAAGAAACTTGAGCCAGTGGTATATAAAAGATTAAATACATTATTTGCATTTGAGTTTATACCAGGAACTCAAACATTTTTACATTTAAGTATCAATCAATATATTGCATAATATTCACAAAAACCCTGAGGAAAAACATAACTGAAACCAAATTGAATATCAGAGATGTTCTCAAACACACAGTTAAAGAACTAACAATAACAAAAATATATACAATAGTAATTTCAGACTCCCTGTTGAAAAGAACTAAAATAATCTTGAGAAGAGACTTGAAATGGATTATAGTTTGTGGTCCAGAGATAATGAGTATGCACGACATATGGTTCACACTTTAGTACAAATTAATAATTCCTCTGGTAAGTGGACATGAATGGTGAGTATTGATACGTCAAAACCTTTGAGGCTGAAAAGCAGGTAGAATAAATTTTATTTATAATGGAAGAATTTTGAAAATGCAATTTCTTCATCAATGTTCAAAATTAGACATTAGAATAGAAATAGATGCAAAAATTAAGTAACTGGCTACATAATGTAAACAGATAAGATAACATGAATTGGAACATTGTTTAAAGCACAGGCATTGTCAACCATTGATTAGAGTTATGATCTCACAAGTGAAAGAAATGAACTTATTTGAGGAGTTGCTTAACTGATCAAGGGGACCTAACTGAAATTTGATGCAATATATGCAAAAGTGCCTAGAAAATGTTATAGGCAATAGTGTTGAATTGGAATAAGAATCTTTATATTAGGGATTAGACGGAGAAAGAGAAAATGGATACATGTATCGTCGATTGGATGTTATAAAAAGCAAAAATATGTTTTGAAATGGAGGATAGTTCTCATAAAGTAAAAATAAAGAAAATAAGATCAGAAGAAGTACTTTCCAAACAACATAGTAATGTATAAGATTTTCTGTAAAATTCAGTTCAAAAATATAAATGCAATTTATAGCTACAATCTGGCTTAAGGAAAATGATATTTTCCACTTTAATAGCCAGTGTACATCTGAGTCTATCCCAAAAGAAGCAGCTCTATTTCAGAACAGTGTATGCCTGCAAGATTAAGAAGCCTGATTACTAATATATGGCAGAGTTTTTTTTTTATCTTAGAAAAAAGAATAAGAATATATAACCCTTCAAAGCCCTCATGTTCATCATGCTAGTTATTTATGAAACAACAGTATAAAATTTACTTTCCAAGAAATCTTTATAAACTCAATTAAGAAAAAAGGTATCCTGCATATACCTACACAAGTTAAAAAGTTAAATTTATCATTTAAAATATTTCCTATAAATAAAACTGCAGGCCTGTATGACTTTAACAGTGAATTACACCAGCTATTTAAGAAATAATTAATACCAGCAAAACTCAGAAAAACTCTTCCAGAAAATAAACGAGGAATAAATATTTTCCAGATTGTTTTACAAAAGTAGTGTCAACCTGATATTACCTCGATAGAGTAAGATGTCACAAGCAGAAAGGCCTCAAGATGAAAATCAAAGAAACAAATTATAGCTAAATATTAATATTCCTTGTGAACATAGATTCACAAATTGTTTTAAAAAGCTATCAAATTGAAATGAGAAACATGTTAATAGGATAATATATAAAAGTAAATTGCATTTTATCTCAGTAATAAAAGGTAAGTTTAACTGTTATGCAAATCAAGCAATAACATCCAACATATTAAGAAACTAAAAGAGAGAAAATGTAGAATCATGACAAAAGACACAAAACATTTGATAAAATTTAGCACCTATGTATTCAACATTATACTGGAGGTCCTAGCATGTGCAATAAACAACAACAAAAAAATCCATACATAAATGGCAAATATGTTTGCAAAGTAAATTAAGTTTATATTTGCTTACAGAATCCATGAAAGTTATGCAGACACTGTAAAGGAATTTATAGAAAAGATGTTGGAACTAATATGTGAATTTAGCAAGGTAATAGGGTACCAAATTGATTGTATTTCTACATATGCACAATAAAAAGCTGAAATGAATTTTTAAAAATATTTTATATTAGGATTATTAATAGGAAAGATTTATGTTTAAATTAAATAAGATATGCTTACGTGCTATATAATAAAAACCATAAAACTTTGCTGAGAAAAATTTTAAAAATGAAATAATTTTAAAAAATATTTTATAGTAGCATTGTAAGTATATTTTATAGTACTATTGGAAATATGAAATATTTCAGTTTGACAACATATATAAAAGTGCTATATAATAAACACTAAGAAACTATAGAGAAAAATTCAAGAAAATATACATGGGTAAACTTATTTCAGGTTCATAGTCCTGAAAGTAATGTATGATTATGTCAGTTCTCATTATGTTGATGCATACATTAAACACATTCCCAATTACAATCATAGTTGGATTTATAAGAGAGAATGAAAAGATGATTTTAAAATTTATACAGAATTTCAGAGAGATTGGTTACAAGAAACAAAGTTAGAAGTTTTAACCTACCTTGTTGCAAGATATATTTTAAATTTACATTTATCAACATAGTGGGCTGTTTCTTTAAATATAGATGTATACATAAAAAGATCAGAATAGATTTGGGAAACATGTCCATATATGTATATTCAATTTTCTTTAATAATTCTGAGAGGATACTTCAAAAAAGAACAAGCCTTTTTAAAAAATTATGCTTGTATAATTAGACACCCATCAGTAAAAAAAAAGTAGCTCATCTTTTATCTCACATTATACAAAAAACTAATTTAGATTGTTTCACTAAGTAATTATAGAGCAAAAATTATAAAACTAACTTCCACAAATCAATAAAGGACAAAATAATTTATGGCTTTGGATTAGGCAATATAGAATACAAAAAGGCAGACAATGAGAAAAAAAGATGATATATGGACTTGGTAGATATGAAAAACTTTTACTTTTAAAAAAATACTAAAATAAACGAAATAAACTAACCATAGTCTGGCAGAAAATGTATTAGTTTTGTCTGTGTCTGTGTGTGTATGTGTGTGTGTGTTTGTGTGTGTGTGTGTGTGAGAGAGAGGAAGAGAGAGAAAAGGAGAAAGACAGAATTTTATAAACAGTCACAACAAAATGATATTATGTCAAACACTCCAATTGAAAACAGACAAAAAAATTAGTATTAAGAGATCAACAACAAAGGCACTATGACTCGCCAACATTATTAATCATCAGGGAAATGGTGGCTAAAACTATAAGGAGAGAACATTACAATTGTTTGAATTAAACAGAATGGCAGAATCAAGATTTAACAAACATGTGGATCAACTAAACCTGTAATATATTGGGATCTAATGAAATTAAAGAGCTTCTGCACAGCGAAAGAAAATACCATCAGAATGAACAGGCAACTTACAGAATGGGAGAAGATTTTTGTAATCTATCCATCTAACAAAGGGCTAATATCCAGAATCTACAAGGAACTTAAACAAATGTACAAGAAAAAAACAAACAACCTCATCAAAAAGTGGGTGAAGGATATGAACAGACACTTCTCAAAATAAGACATTTATGCAGCCAACAAACATGAAAAAAAAAGCTCATCATCACTGGTCATTAGAGAAATGCAAATTGAAACCACAGTGAGATACCATCTCATGCCAGTTAGAATGGCGATCATTAAAACGTCAGGAAACGAGATGCTGGAGAGGATGTGGAGAAATAGGAATGCGTTTACACTGTTGGGAGTGTAAATTAGTTCAACCATTGTGGAAGACACTGTGGCAATTCCTCAAGGATCTAGAACAAGAAATACCATTTGACCCTGCAATCCCATTACTGGGTATATACCCAAAGGATTATAAATCATTCTACTATAAAGACACATGCACATGTATGTTTATTGTGGCACTGTTCACAATAGTAAAGACTTGGAACCAATCCAAATGCCCATCAGTGATAGACTGGATAAGGATAATGTGGCACATATACACCATGGAATACTATGCAGCCATAAAAAGGATAAATTCATGTCCCTTGCAGGGACATGGATGAGGCTGGAAACCATCATTCTCAGCAAACTAACACAGGAACAGAAAACCAAACACCGCACATTCTCACTGATAAGTGGGAGTCAAACAATGAGAACACAGGGACCCAGGGAGGGGAACATCACACACTGGGGTCTGTCAGGGGGTGGGGGGCTAGGGGAGGGACAGCATTAGGAGAAATACCTAATGTAGCTGACAGGTTGATGGGTGCAGCAAACCAACATGGCATGGGTATACCTATGTAACAAACCTGCACATTCTGCACATGTATCTCAGAACTTAAACTATAATTAAAAAAAGAGTTTCTCCATTTTCATAGACCCATTATTTTCCAGTCTGACATTTAAGACCTGATCAGAATGGTTTGTCACATCTAGCATTAGTGGAGGTTTTTAAAAATTCTATTCAGAGAAAAATTTACAGTTCTTAGCTGGAGAAATAATGCTGAAGGCTAAGTATAAGGAATAAAACATGGAATTTTCCAGGAGACCATACTACAAGTCAAGAAAAGCTGATCTAAGTTTAAATGTGGTGAATTAGGTGAGTTTGAACTCAACTTTCAAGACTAAGACCATTAACAATAACATGTGCCTGCTTAAAGAAGCACTGCAAGCTTGGTCAGCCACAAAAAAGCTCCAGGAGTAACAAGGATTGCCTATCAAAGGAGAGTGGAGACTCAGCAAATATAAAGGGAATGAGTTGTAGAAAGTAGAATAAGGAACTATGGATAAAGTCTAGGAAATGTCAGGAATTTGTAGATATTTGCTCATAAAGCTAGAGGTATTAATGAGGTACTGCTTTGTGTTTCTTTTTGACATTATAAAACACTATAAAGTTTTCTTATCCAATTAAAGCAATAAAGCAGAAATTTTATGAAATGTAACTTCTTGGCAGAAAAACTTCTCAGGAATAATCATGTTCAAAGATATATGATATGTTCTTATTATTGATGATATAATTTCATAGAATGGCAGTTCTCTGTGGAATGACCACTTGGCATTATTTGTTTCCACGCTGGGTAGAATGGTGTTGATATAACTAGATAGGTTAAAAAATACGCCTAAAAAACTTTAGGAGAAAAAAAGCACAGTGTGTTGTGTGATATACGATATATATTTTAAAGAATAGTTAATGTTTTCATTGTTGCTCATACATTAATCTATGAATTTAAAAACATGTATTTATAATAAAATGTATCATCCAAACCTACACGGTAATTTACCTACAAGGTAAATCATACGTAATTGCAAGAAGTAAAGAGATTGATTGTCTGGGGGAAAAAAGATGAGAGAAAATATACGTATAGTACAAAGAAAAAAATACAAAACTTGAATTTGATAGATCAGGAAGGAAGGCAGGTCCAACACAGTGAGGTCAGAGAAATCCTGAACAAGAAGTCAATCAGAAAAGTTTTACAAGGAACAAATGATTAAAACTAGGCCTTAAAACAGGAAAAAGAAAAAAAATAGACATGAGGAATGTATGAACAGCTTTCTCAAAATGGTGAAAGTAGAAACCTAGTTTTGAGAACCCCTGATATGTCTAGTTTGGTTGTGGCATGAATATCAACAGGACACTTAGTGTTGGCTACCATGCAAAGGTAAGTGTAGATGACACACATTACAAAACTTAAACCTAGAGCTAAAGGATAAACACTAAACATTTTGTCTAGAAGGGTGTTCAGAAGTCCAGTTTAGCAAGATGAATCTGCAAGTAAATTAGAATGACAAGAGACCATGATGGAGAAATTCAAATAAGAAACAATGAAAAAAATGTTAAAAGAGAACTAAGAAGGAGATAAGATATAGCAGTACCAGATGATATGGTAAAAGATGTAAAACACTAAATTTAAGATCTTAAATCTGGGTCGGGCGTGGTGGCTCATGTCTGTAATCCCAGCACTTTGGGAGGCTGAGGCGGGTGGATCACAAGAGTAGGAGATGGAGACCATTCTGGCTAACATGGTGAAACCCCATCTCTCCTAAAAATACAAAAAATTATCTGGGCGTGGTGGCGGGCAAGAGAATGGCATGAACCCTGGAGTTGGAGCTTGCGATGAGCCCAGATCGCGCCACTGCACTCCAGCCTGGGCGACAGAGCAAGACTCCATTTCAAAAAAAAAAAGATCTTAGATCTGAAAACATAAAATATTAAAAAGCATCTGAAAATAGATCGTATCAGGTGAACATATACTAATATCTTAGTTTGTATTAATACGCAAAATCTCTCCCCATTTCTCTCCTACAACCCTCAAACAACAAACTCAGCTGTGCAAGGAACATAGTTTTCTTCAGTGCTCTATAGCCCAACTATGTCTGTAGTTTCTATTTCTTCAGTTGCTGGAAACTGGATCTCAGTCTATTGTTTCACTTTTGATAACAGGCTTGTGTATATGTAGAGAAAGGAAAAAGGTAGGCATCTGATCTTCTTCCCAATCATTATGTTGTCAAGCTGGCATCTGCTAGGACAGCCACACAAGTCATTGTTGTCTTGTTTTTTAACAGTGTCTTTGAATCCAGATGTTCCTCTTCTTCAGTCACTCTCAGTACATGCTCACAATGCTACTTCTTTGAATCTTTCTGGTGTTTAGAAAAGTTGGTGGGGCTGTCAGAAAACATTTCATGCTACAGTTGAACACACACCAGTCACTCTGTTGTGACTATGTTGAAACTTGTAGAGCTTGCTGAGAATGTCTTGGGAACTTCTGTCTAGATACACCTTACATTTATTTTAGATATGGGTTTTTGCAGCCTCTATGAGTTCTAAACCACAATAGATAAAGAAGGGTTATCTGCCATATAGGCTATTCCCCATTAAGGTTTAGGGATTTCTGTTGCTAGGATTCCCAAATGTAGTCCCTGAACGGAAGAAGTTCCTAATCATTTGTAGTATCTGTAGTATCTATAGTCAGCTCTCTTTATCTGTGGGTTAAGCATCCCTAGATTCAACCAATTGCAAATGAAAATTATTAAAAACAGATGGATGGTTGTGTTTGTACTGAACATTTACACACTGTTGTTTTCCTTGCCATTATTTCACATATCATACAGGACAAAAATTCTTTACATGGCATTTACACTGTATTAAGTATAAATAATCAAAAGATGATATAAAATATATGGAAGGATGTGCATAGGTTATATGCAAATACTACACCACTTTATATCACAGACTTGAGCATCTGTGGAGTTTGGTATCCACAAGGGTTTCTGTGGCCAATTCCCCCTGGATACGGAGGGATGACTATATAGTTTTACCCTAAAAAGCTGAAAATTACCTATTTTTATGTTGTATTCCCTCTTCGAAGCAACCAGTACATGAGGGACAAAAGAGACTGACAAGGAGAAAGAAAGGAACAGAGAGAAAGCCAACAATAGAGCCCATGAGAAAGGCACAGAGAGAATGAGCTACAAATACAGATATAGATATACACAGCTATCCTATAAACGATTCTAAATATGACAGGTTAATAATAACTAGCTGCATTTGTCTCCTAGGGTCACCATAGCAAGTCGCTACAGACTGGCTGTTATGAACAACAGAAATTTACTTTTGCACTGTTCTGGAAGCTAGAAGTCCAAGATCAAGGTGCCATCAAGATTGGTTTCTGATAAGACCTTTTTTTTTTCCTGGATTTTGACTTACTTTCTCACTGTGTGCTCATGTAGCCTTCCCTCTGTGTTTGTGCTGAGAGAGAGCTGTCTGGGGTCTCTTCCTCTTTTAAGGGGACAATAGGCATAGCAGATGAGGGGCTAGCCTTGTGACTACACTACTTCCCTAAAGACCTTAATTCAAAATAAATCACTCTGGGGGTGTAAGAGTTCAACATATAAATTTTAGAAGGATAAATTCAACTTCAACATTATCTCACTAAAAGTGTCTTTGAAGGCCGGGCACGGTGGCTCATGCCTGTAATCCCAGCACTTTGGGAGGCAAGGTGGGCGGATCACCTGAGGTCAGGAGTTTGAGACCAACCTGACCAACACGGAGAAACCCTGTCTCTACTAAAAATACAAAATTAGCTGGGCCTGGTGGCACATGCCTGTAATCCCAGCTACTAAGGAGGCTGAAGCAGGAGAATCGCTTGAACCTGGGAGGTGGAGTTCGCAGTGACCTGAGATCCTGCCATTGTACTCCAGCTTGGGCAACAAGAGTGAAACGCCATCTCAAAAACAAGAAAAAGGCTTAGAAATAGTAACTTTCTTTTACTGTGTATACTATTTTTTTTTCATCAGAATAACCTCATAAACAGGAAAGTTCTTATTAATGATCTTTTTTACTTAGCACTTAGGGAAGAATGGATTTATAGTAGCAAATAGTAGTCACAAATATATACAGTAATGTAGTGTTTCTAAAACTTTTCATGTGCCTAAAAAATGTCCTGGAACTATAATTCCTTCTTAATATTTATACTATTTAGTTTTGGAAATAAAATGGAATTGCAATCTTTGTGTTAAGATAGAGTGCAGATGCAGAATGGAAGCAGGAAGAACACAGGCGTGGGTATTAGTCATTTCTGGGCTTGAACCTTAGTTCTTTTCACCTTCTGTGTGCCTCAATTTCCTCCTATTTAAAAGTGGAAGAGTAAGAACTAAAGAAGGAGGAGAGAAACACGAAGGGTGGCTCGATAGTCAACAGGTTTATTTCAAACCTGGGAGGGACTTCTGACCAAGTTAGGTCAGAAGCTGCACTCTCTTACAGACTAAGAGTTTTTAAGGATTCAGGGTGGGAGAGTTTATCAGAGACTTCGACTGCTTCTGTGTCTCTTTGTTGTGCTTATCTGAGAGGGAGAGTTGTGTGTCTGTTCCCATACATCTTTCTGCAGCTTCAGGCATATCCCCTGAGTCTGCCTTTAGCTTCCCTATCTGAGTGCACCAGCAGAGAAAGGAATGTGCTTATTAAGGCCCACTGTTTTACTGGGGCCCCATTGTATGAGGGTGAAGTTTGGCAGTTACACAAGAGACTTCCTCCCTGCCTTCCTCTGTGCCTGAGCCTGTCTTACCTGTGTTTTACTGTCTGCTCTTTTCTGGCTGCTTGTAGTTAGAAGTGATTTCCTTGAAATGCGTGAGGCTAGAAAGGGAGTGTTTGTCAGAGATGATGGTGCTCATGCTCTGTCAGGAAGTTAAGTCACTTTTACGAGGATTCTGTGCGGTAAATATGATTACATTTGTAAATATCCTTGAGAAAGTGATGAGCACCTACTCCACAAATGCCTCCCTTTTCTCCTTTCCCTTTTCAGAGCATCCTTCTTTATTTTATTATTATTTCTTTTTGAGACGGAGTCTCGCTCTGTCATGCTAGCTGGAGTGCAGTGGTGTGATCTCAGCTCACTGCAACCTCCGCCTCCCTGGTTTAAGTGATTCTCCTGCGTCAGCCTCCAGAGTAACTGAGACTACAGGCAGGCGCCCGCCACCATGCCCAGCTAATATTTTGTATTTTTAGTAGAGATGGGGTTTCACTGTGTTATCCAGGATGGTCCTGGATCTCCTGACCTCATGATTCGCCTGCCTCGGCCTCCCAAAGTGCTGGGATTACAGTCCTGAGTCTCCGCGCCCAGCTGCTTCCGTCTTTAGAAACCCAAATGTTTCCGTTTGCCGTGGCTGCTGCAACAAATTATTATTAATCAGGCGCCTTAAACAGAAAATTATGTCTCACACTTCTGGAGGCTGGAAGTCAGAGAGTGAAATGTTGGCAGTGTTGGTGCCTTCTGAGATTGTGAGAGGATCTGCTTAAGACCTCTCTTGTTGGCTTGTAAGATGGTCATCTTTCTGTGTGTCTTCGCATTTCCTTCCCTATCTATGTATGTGTCTATGTTCAAATTTCCCCTTCTTACAAGGACACCAGTCAAATCGTATTAGAGCCCACTGTAATGACCACATCTTAATTGTCTTCATAAAGACTCTATTTCCAAATAAGGTCACTCTGTGTGGTAGTTGGGGTTAGAATTTCAATGTAAGAATTTTGTGGTGTCATAATCTAACCCCAAACACCATATAAACAAATGCATAAGTGGAACCATCAAAATACCTGTTTAAGTGAATCCTTGTATTTGTCTCTCATTCTGAGCAAGATTTTCACTTTATTCTTCAAATTATTGAACACAATGTTAAATCTGTTTGCAGACAAAACATTTTAGACATCGTTGTTTTATTTTCACCTTTTTAAAGAGTCTACACAGCATTAAACTTTATACTTGAAATCAAGAAAAAAAAAACAATTTATCTTTCAAGTTTCTTTTTCCAAATATTAAAATAACATGCTGAAAAATTTAAATTGTCAGATATGAATTTCATCTTAAGAAAATTATCACTTGTTTAATATTACTTGATACTATCAGCCAAAGTGGCTGGTTTCCCCAGTTTCATTATAATTACTGTGTACGTTTATAGGAATCATGCATGTAATATAATCTAACCCTTTTGTAATTTTCCTGAAAGCAGGTTAGTTAATTTATGCAGGCAGGGTGCCAAAGCAAAATCTGTAGTAAACAGATACAATTCTCACTGTGCTTTGGTATTTTTTCAGTTTTTACCATTTCAAATATGTTTATTTTTAACATTTTAATTAAATGAAATAAAAAGAGCTGCTATTTAATTTACCTATGTGGAAGAACAGTTTGGCTTCTTCAAGAAGGACACAAGTGACTATAAACTCTGAGCTGAAACTCATTATGTATTTTGATTTTTGTTCCTAGTGCAAGTGGTAAATTCCTTCTGCCTTATGCACATAATAATTAGTGTCATTATCTGCTGCTTTATCATAATACTATATACACCAAAATGTAAATTAGCAGCCCAGCCCTTTAGAAATGATGGAGTGGATGACTGAAGTGCAATTTACTGATTAAAAGTTTCATTTTCTATATCTCACTGATGAATGCAGCCCTTTGCTTCCCTGAGATGTCAAATCCTGAAGGATATCATGTTGGGCTGGAACATTCTAAGAATGGAGATTATGTGAATGGATATGGCAACGTAATTATTGTGCCTTTTTTGCCAACACTTTGTATGGAAATTTAAGTAAAAGTTTAAAAAAGCCATAAAGAAGAAAAACCTGTTTGTCAATTTTAATAAAGTTAAGGGTATGAGGTATTAATATCACACCGACACAATAAAAAGTCATAAGTCTAAGACTGCAAAACCTAAAAGTCATATAGGATATTCTTTCATTGAACATTTAAAGATGTATATATACATACATATCCCATATATGTGTGGGATATGTGATATATATATATATTGAAATATATATATGTCTTTCAAATGTGTTTATTTTGTGTGTATAAATGTTTTGTGTATATATATATATGTTTATTTTGTGTGTGTATATATATATATATATACACACACACACACACACACAAAGACCAAAGAAATCCTCTGTTAAGTGAATGAATGAATACTCATAATATTACTTGTATATAAGAAGGGATTTATCTGGTTAAATAGAAAGAGGACAAAAAGAAATAATTGAATGGCACTATCAAGTATAGAGGACTTAAGTACAGTGAACATTTACTAGTGCAAGCAACATGCAATCCTTTGTTTTATTCCCGTAATATGAACAAAGATAAGTCTGATTTTTAGAATCCAATTTTTGGTGATAAGTACAGAGGTAATCTTTAGACACCACTGCCAACAGCGCAATGAAGGGGAATAGCTTTAAAATAATAATAATAATAACATACCTAAGAGTCCTATCTCAAGGCTATTAGGCATTTGTTGCAGCCCTTAGCAAAAGACTCTAGTCATAAACAGGCCTGTTCAATCATATTAATGAATGAGAAGAGAAAGTGGCTTGTCTTATAGTTTTCTTTTCTTTTTATTTTTTTCTAACACACACACAGACGGATAGACCCACACAGTTTTTCTCTGATAATTCTATCTATTTTGCATAATCTCCTGCTTTTTCCTACTATTTTCCTTGTTTTATTCTGCTGGTCTGTGTTATTTGGCAAAATATTTTTAAAAAGTCAAATTTATCTGATTGTTTTGACTTTAAAGAGAGAAACTCTGAAGTAAAATGGCCTAAAAAATTAGGAAAACTCTAAAGCCCTAAAGTAATATATTTCAAAGTTCAACCAAATCAATGGCTTAATTATGACTTTAAGAAAACAAGGGATTTTTAGCTTTCAGCTCAGCCCTTCTTACTGTGTTTCTTCCTACCACTCTCATTATCAAAATATGGTTGTGACAGTGACAGGCTTCATACCCTTACAATGCAATATCAACAAGTTGAAAGAGGATATTTTTAAATGCTCTCTTATAAATGTCACTGTTACGCATGCAATATTACTGGAAGGTTTTCTTACTTTAGACTCAAGAAGCTATAAATGTAAGGTATTTTGTCTTCAGAATATGAACTAAAACTAAGTATTCACACATTTCAAATAGCTAAACAATCCACAGAACCAGAAAAAAGACACCAAAATATCTATTATTATGGAAATACTTGTTTTTAAGTCATTGGTAATTTTTCAGAAAGTGATTCATGTGTTTTTCTTCCATTTTTAGTATTATAAGAGGAGAAATGATTGTTAACTAGTTTTCAACAAAGAAAAGCTGTGTTTATACTAGGCCCATCATTAAATGTTCTTGGAAAAATACTTGATTAATGAAGCTTGAAAAATATAATTCATATTTACTTATTTATAACTCTTGGTAGCCCTGAATCCTGCTATAAATAACTTTTAATGTTTTCAACCCACAGAAATTGCGTGTGTGTGTGTGATAGTCTTAACAAAATGTTGCTTCAAATTATGAAGTAATAACTTTCTCCTCTATGAAAGGAGAAAATTTCTACAACCCATTGAATTATCATATGAAATTGCCTTAGATTATGATTTATTAAATGTTAGATACTTTCCAATCTCATATTTGGTGGGAGTTATTGAGAGGAATCAAGAAGACAATCATAACTGGATTCATGATATCAAAGTACATAATGAATTTATGTATTCATTTTTGAATCCAGGTGATTTTACTAGAATAAGTTGTCCGTGGTTTCGATTATGTAGCTAAGGACTTTTCTAATTTACCAACATAAAAACATCAATGTATGAAAAGCAACCACTCATAACCTCTTCTGAAGATCATACATGAGCATGTATTTTATTTCAATTTTTTTAAAGAAAAACAGGAAAGTAAAAGTTTAGATTTTTATCTTTCCAAATCAAGTACTTTATATTTTCTCTCAAATATAAACTTTAAAAAACAAACGGAGACCCTAGAAGTGAGAAATAAACTCATGAAATTAAATATATATTGGCTCAACTTAATAGCTGTATGAACATTTCAGAAGAAAGAGTAAACAAACAATGGTAGAACAATATAAGTTTTCCAAAATGAATAATAGGAATAATATTACAAATAATCATAATAACTAGAGTATCAAGGTGATGTTAGATGGTAACATATGATCAAAAGTACATGAAACAGGAATGGCTGTGAGAATAGGACAGAAGAAAAAAAACCAAAGAACTTAAAGATATCATGGCTGAAAATTACCCATACTTGTAAAATCCATAACTTTTACATAGATATTTTTAAAGACCATGAAAATAAACCCCAAGAATCAGCCACACCCAGACACAGCATAGTCAAGCCAGTCAGTTAGATATACAGAGTGAATTTTGATAGCAGTAAAAGACAGATGACCTATAACATACAACGAAACATCAATGCAATTAATGACTGAAATGAGAGTGATGGAGGACAGAAGAGGATTGGACATCCTTAAATTGCTCAAAGACAAAAAGGGGGAAAAAACCCCCACAAAACAAAACTGTCAACCCAGACTTCTGTTCTCAGTGATAATATCATTCATGATTGAAGGCAAAATAAAGACTTTTTTAATAGAAATAAACTAAGAAAATCTGTTGCCAAGACACTTTCTTTTCCGATACCAGAAAAGAGAAGCAAGCATCAGAAATGGTAAATATATGAGTATATGCAAAATTTTACCTCTTTTTGAGTCTTTCTTCTTATTCTTTTTTAAAACATGATTTACTGAAACTAAAATTATGACATTTTCTTGTTAACTTTATCATGTAAGTTTGTGTATTACATGTAATGATTATAAGGACAGCTTGTAGTTTTGCCAAATTTTATGATCATTGATTGGAATTTAGACTGAATTAGAGCACAGTATAAATGGAAAACTCACCAAATAATTTTAGAAAGTTTACAGTCAGCGTTCAAATTATATAATATTTCATCAAATTTACAGTGTTTATTTTAGTTTTCTTTCCAAGAACAGACAGAAAAGAGAAAGCAAAGAAATAACAACAAAGAAAAGAAAAAAACAGAGAAGATAATTTGAAAATAGGATATTTTCAAAAGTAGACGTTTAGTTTTCATGTTGTATTTCTGTAATGGACACTCTGGAGTTTATAACATATACATTCAGGAGGTCTTACATCTGAAGATATTTTCATTAAAATATATTTTAATATTCTTATAACTGAATAAGATAAGAAATTGGGGAATTGCAAAATTAGCCCTTGAAACTGTAAAATTTTTCCCTCAGAATTCCACTTTAGTAGCATTTGGTGTCGCAGTGTAATCTCAAATTAGAAATATTTTTTATCTCTCTGGATGCAACTTTATCTGATTTTCAATTTTTGTATTTTTTTACTTTATGGTTATAATCTGTCGTATTCCTAGGGTGTGCCTAGTTTATTTGCCTTTTATTATAGTTGCTTGGATTATGGTTATCTAATTACAACCTAGTAATCGGCATACAATGTTTTCATTACACATGAAAAGGATTCATACCACATATATTGTGAATGTTTTGATTTGTTGTTGTTGTTGTTTATTTCTGAGTTTTCCCATCTGAATAATAATATTCTACATACTGGCTCCTGTTTCCTGTTCTTGTATATAATTTTCTTTCTCATCATAATTTTCCCTTTGTACTATTCCTCTCTGTTCTAAAAATACTATTCCAATCTGCCTTTCATAGCATTCACTTGATTTTTTTCCACAAAATCAGTTCTTTTCAATCTAAAGACTAGTTTTCTCAGTTCTGCTGTTTCTACCAGCTTCTGCTGTGTCTCAGATCACTCACAAGCTTTCTTCCCTTCAGTCATCTCTCTTTCTCAACATACTGCATTTTCACAGAGATAAAATACTTCTGTACTATTTTGACTATGACAGTCTCCAGTGTCCAATGACTTTTGGAAGTATCTGCGTCTTCTGATTCTTTCAGACTCATTTACCCTTCCCTTTTACGTATTACTTGTTTTTTTCTGATCAACTTTCTTTTATCATTACTGCCAATTTTGTGAATTCAAAACATGTGTCCAAGTACTTACTATATATCACAGTTTATTTTGAATAATAGAGCATGTAATATAAGACAATTAAATAAGGCCAGGGTTGCCAAAATTGATGAATATGTTCAAGACAAAAGGTTCATGGGGGAAATGAAATGTATAGTAAGCTCTTTGTCTCATGAAATTCATATTGTTTGTTACCTGGTCACTTAAGTCCAAGTAACAAACAATATGAGAATATGAATATGGAGAAGCTCAATGCCTGCTGTATTATTTAAATCATATTTTCATCTTGACAGTAAATGTAAGTAGTTCCTGGTCTAATGTCCATTTTATAGCAGTTTTCACCCACTGTTCTATTCACTTGTGTCTTGTTTCCATCCTCACTTCATGAATCTTTTTTTACTCTTCATAGGCAGAACATATAGAAAATATTGACCCATAACTTTTACTACTGTTTCCATTACTCTTCCTCTGTAATCCCTACACCACAGACCACATATAGTACCTTTCTCTCAAAATATTTTCATACCCGCAAAATTACTGTTTATTGCTACAAATTTCCATAATGCTGAATGTTATCATCAGTTTTTCAATTAACTGATTAAATGAAGTTATTATATTTAAAGCAACATTTTGATTATCCAATATCAAATATAACATTTGAAGTGAAGAGAAAGCAGTTATCTACATCACAGAATAATGAAATAGGTCAGGTTTTCTACATAGAAATACACCAGATATTAGAGTCAGTGGACAGATGGTTGAAGAGGCATGAAGTACCTTCATACCTATTTAATATGGTCTGTCTTTTGTAAAGTAAAGCCAGGGTATGCCAAAAGCAAATGCCTAGTTTGGGTTTATCTCAATCCCATTCCATCTGCTTTTTAATTAGTGGCAATTCTTCCCAGATTTTGATATTAATTGCTTATGTGTTTTAGCCTCCAATGCTATTGAGATGTGTGCCTTTCTCTGTATCTGCATAGATTTTTGTAGTGACAATCAGTAGTGGATGAATTAGCTAGATTCCATTTTAAACCTGAGCACCATGTCTTTCTAGATTTTAAAAGTTGGATAATTACTTATTCAATGTAATAATATTAATTATTATTAATTACATGTCATGTCAAGATGACTTCACTAATTTTCCCAACCAATAATTAAAATGCCTGCCATATGACAGGCATGTTTCATTTTTATGGTGGACCAAGAACAGAAATTTTTTTTGGATAATGTGGCATTATATTTATTGAGGGAAGCATTAAAAATGCAGTTACACCAAAGATAAACTAGCTTTGATAAGTACAATAAAAGAGGGTAGTAGATGACAGCATATTATGAATGGATATGGTTTAGTTTGAGATATCAGAGTAGTGACAATAAACTGATATCTAAAGGATAAAGAGGGGCAAAGTAATGTAGGGAAGAGAGATCGTCAACATAAGTATGGATGGGTAAAGAGCTGAAGATGGAATGGAGCATTGTGTACTTAAAATCTGGTAGAAGGACAGAGAGGTGGATTAACACTTGGCAAAGAGGGACATCTGTTAGAAATGCTTGGAGGGTCAATATACCTTTTGTCCTTTATGCATAGCATAAGCAGATATCTATGCATAGCATAAGCAGAGATGATCAGATTTGGTTGAAATGATTACAGTCTCTAGAACTGTGCTTTCTAATACTGTAGCCACTGTGCTGGCCAATAAAGCTGCAATGGTCCATTTTCTAGTGGTTAATAGCCATATGTAGATATTGGCTATCATATTAGATAGCATAGATTTAAAGCGTTTTCCTCATTGCAGAAGGTTCTACTGAATAGTGCTGGTCTAGAGAATGGAGTGTGTCTAATATGGGAGCCCGAATAGGTATAGTGAACTATCTGCAAGGGGACTAGTGTCCCAGAAAGAGACAATAAGAAGTTGGTACATGTATTCGTTTACTAGAAAAATTGTAACAAGGTACCACAAAGTGGATGGGTTAAAACAACAGAGATTAGTCTTTCCCCACTATGGAGGGAAGAAGCCTGAGATCAAGGTGTTGACAGTCATGCTGTCTCTGAAGGCTCTAGGGCAGAATTAGTCCCATGCCCAAATGAGTCTATGTCTTTTGTCTTCTTATTAGAATACCAGTAATATTGGATTAGGGTTCACCCTAATGACCTCATCTTAACTTGATTATATCTGTGAATATTCTATTTTCAAATAACATCACATTTACAGGTACAGGGCATTAGGATGTCAACAAATCTTTTGGGAAAGGCTGGATTCAACCCATTACATCTGGAATGGAGAGACGTTTATATAGTTGTAGATTATTTAAGAGGTTGATTAAATAGAGAACATTAAGTGACCAGTATATTTTAAAGAAAGGTGTCAGAAGAGCTTCAGTTCCCTGTAAAAACAGAGGTGGGAGGATCAATATGGGATGACCAACATGGGGCAAGGGTCCGTTTCATGAGGGTTATTGGGGTCTTCTGCAAAGTACTCAAGTTGGAAATGTCTTGAAAAGGCCCCACTCAAAAGGGCTGCCTTCCAGCAAGAGGCAACAAATGGAGGAGTTGATCTCAGATCCGTCTGTGAGGGACACATACATGGTCTATAGGAAAAGTAGAAAGAAACGACAAGTTTATTTTAGTTCTCACATTGTATGTTAAGAATAAAAAGCTACAAAAGCACCACATAGGACATAGACAGCATTTGAACATTTGTAATTTAGAGTGCTTCAATGAAATACTTAATATGAAAATACACAGAATATTTTCAAAATACACTGATAGTGTGTAGATCCTATAGAGATCCTCCAAGTAAGATCTGATGTCCATATCTCTCTCTCTCCTTTAAAAATCTACACCTTCTACCAAGCTGGAAATGGGAATGCTACTTGTAAGGGCCATTCCAAGCCTTGGAAATAATTAACATTTGTCCATAAGATGCAATGCAACATCCATGCTCCTTTGTTTTTGGAATCAAGTGGCTAAAATGGACCAACATACATAGATACCACATTTCACACAACATCCCTCATCCAACTCTGAAAATTTAAGGAGAAATCCAAAATGTTTGGGTATAAAGAGGTGGGAGGCCACTCACAACATGCGAACTCATAAATAGTTCAATGAGGTGTGTTATGGTGCTGAAGATTTTGGGTTACTGTGCCTTTCATTCAGTAATGCAAGGTGTATCTATATATCTCAATAATCCAAAACAAAACATACTTCCACAATATCCTCAATATTCCCAGATAACCTGGAGGGATCTGAAGCAGGATAGTACTCTATTTTTACAAAGATTTTTATGGCAATTCGGCCCTACTATTCATTTGTTCAACTATTATTTAACACATATTAAGTTACTATCATGGGCCATGCACTGGCTTATTCAGTCCCTTCTTCATGGATGCACAGATAGAAGGACTTTTTATTTTTCTTTATTTAACTTGATTATTTTCATAGAAGAGTCTTGCATCCTACTGAAATCTCCAATTTACTTAAACAATTTTAACTAATATGCATTGTAGTGTTTCTATATATTTAGTTTTTTTCTTGCTCATTATATTAACTATCATTTAATTTTCACAACAAACCTATTTTAAAATATTATAATTTCATTTGGAGATAGGCAAGCAGATATTCAGGAAGGTGGTTGACATTCTAAGTGCTGGTAAGAAGTAAAGCAGGGTAAGATATAATACAGGTTCATCCCACAGTCTTCCTTCTTTGTTGCATATGTCATATTTTGTCTTTTTTGATGTGTTCTAATTCTTACTCTATCTTGGATATATTACAACTTTTGTGAATGTAACTTCCCTATCTACATTTGTGTCTAATCCCTGTTTTCACATTTGAAATCAATCTATGCTTACTTTCTGTTTTAAGATTTGGGGCTCTCTCCTTACTCCTATTCCTTTTCTTGTCTTTGATACTGATTTCCACAGCTACATTCAGCCATTGTCTTCTGTAGGATTGTCATTCAGCTCTTACCAGATCATTTGCAATATTTATGATGATGAAAATAAAATGTCTCATCCTAAGAATATGAAAATCTTCAAGAAAGACAACAATTAAACCTCAAATAATATAATGGAGCAGATATGATGGGATTCAATAAAATACATATATGAAATAATTTTTTAGAATTTACATCATCAAACTTTCTCAGCATTGTTACTTCACTCATTATATCACATAATTTATGACATAGCATATGCTTCTTCATGTTATTTTCCTTTGTTTCATTGTTATCTTGTTTTTGTAACTAAGTTAGAAATAATGTGACAACTATAGCCTAACTATATGCTTAATGTAGTTCTAGATAACTATAAAACATTCCATTAAAATGTGTCTATTATCACAATTATGTGATTATGAAATTGTATACTTTAGTTTTTGGCATCAATTTTTCAAACCAGAGAAATTCCATCTTTAAAAATTCATCAAATATATGTAACCAAATGAGAATTTTGAACTGAGATTCATACTCTCAGCTTTGAATTGCACATAGAAATGAAAACATAATTTTCTTTGGTGTGTTTTGTTAAATGGCAACTATAAAATATTATAAAATGAATAAGATGCACATGCTTAGAAAACAAAAACTTTGAAAGCCATCAGTGCAGAAATGAAAATGCCTGTTTGATAGTATGTAGAAGACTATAACAATAATATTATGTTATAAAGATGTGAGACATATCTTTCTTGAAAGTATAAGCCAAAGAGCAGCTGCAGTCAGAGTCATCAGAATGCCATGAAATTTGTAAAAGAGGGGACTTGTCAACAGTGTCTGCCATGGTCTGTTTGAACACAGCTGCAATTGGGATTTTCAAGCTGACCCCCATCTGGTAGGATGATGATGCCTTCTGGAAGATTCTCGACAGAGCCCAAATGACCAACAGAGTAGGTCAAAAGCAGAAGGACAGATGATAAAGTAAGTTGAAAACACTTGATAATTTTCAATTATGAAAAAAAAATCTTACTTCCAAGAATCCCTACAAATATGCTTGTATCTGAATTTAATGCTTCATAATAAAGAATTTGTTTGGGATTTTGAGAGCCACGTGTGAATTTAAAGATTGGAAAGTTTTTCATTTTTACAATATTTAAAGAGAACATAATGCTTTTCCTGGCTTTAGGATATGATATTAGAAGCATGCAGCATTATTAAGAAAATCCCCCTAGAAGCCTGTTGTTTCATTTCTGCTTGCATCTAAAATAGAGTTTTCTAGTAATTGCAGTCTACAAACATATTTTTAATATTTTTAATAGTAGTGTTCAATGTAAAATGTACAAAACTAAATCTGTGAAGTTCACATTCTAACACAAAATATATATTAATAAAACTTGAGTTCATTTAAACCACTAGAAGACAATGCATGCTATAAATACATAAATCATATAGATGTAACTTACACATAATATGCATAGAGAAATTATATATTAAATATATATACATACATATATAAATTTGAATTTTCTGTTACAAATTATGTAATAATTTTAAAAACATATTGCATTGTGATGTATAGTATGAGCTTATTTTTGTTAGACGCAACTAGAATTTACATAGAAAATTTATGTAATTTCTACATATGATTACCGTAATTCAAAATATTGGAAATGTTTAATTTACAATATTGCATTTGAATCCTATTGTATATGTAAATTATTCTATTTCATTTATATTTGAAAATTTTGGATTTGCCAAGATAAACATTTATAAATATAAAATATCCTTTTATATTTTTATGCATTGTAAACCCATTGATTTAATCTGTTGATGAACACTTAGGTTGCTTCCAAATCTTAGCTATTGTAAACAGTGCTGCAACAAACATAGGAATGCAGATGTATCTTAGGGATACTGATTTCCTTTCTTTTAGGTATCTAACTAAATTGGGATTTCTGGATCACATGGGAGTTCAACTTTTAGTTTCTTGAGGAACCTCAATAGTGTTCTTCATAGTTATTGTACTGATTTACATTCCCACCAACACATTAGTTCCTCTTTCTCCACATTCTTGCAAGCATTCATAATTGTCTGTCTTTTGAATAAAAGCTATTTTAACTAAGGTGAGTTCATATCTCATTGTAGTTTTGATTTGCATTTCTTTGATAATTGATGATGTTAAACACCCTTTTCATATACCTGCTTGGCATTTATAAGTCTTCTTTGGAGAAATCTGTATTCAGATCTTTTGCACATTTTTAAATTGGCTTATTAGATTTTTTTTTCCTGTTGAGTTGTTTGAGCTCCTTATGTATTCTACTTATTAAACTTTTGGTCAGATATATAGTTTGCAAATATTTTCTTCCATTCTGTGGGTTGTCTCTTCACTTTGTTTAATGTTTTCTTTGTGATGTAGAAGCTTTTTAACTTGATTTGTCCATTTTTGCTTTGTCACCTTTGCTCAGACCAATGTCCTGGAGAGTTTCCCTACTGTTTTGTTTTAGTAGTTTCATAGTTTTAGGTCTTGGATATAAGTCTCAAATACATTTTGATTTTGATTTTTTATTTAAAAACTTTAATAATTTTTTAATAAAAATCAAAATGGATTTTTTAATAAAATAAAATCAAAATAGATTAAATGGTGAGAGATGGGGTATAATTTTATTCTTCTGCATATGAATAACCTCTTTACCCAGCACTATTTATTGAAAGGACTGTACTCTCCCCAATGTATGTTATTGGCACCTTTGTTGAAAATGAGTTTACTGTATATAAATATATTTGTTCTATTCTGTTCTATTGGTCTATGTTTCTGTTTTTATGGCCGTACTATGATTTTCGGTTACTTAGCTCTGTAGCGTAATTTGAAGTCAAGTAGCGTGATTCCCACAGATTTGTTCGTTTTGCTCAAGATGGCTTTGGCTATTCTGGGTCTTTGAGGGTTCTATATAAATTTTAAAATTGTTTTTGCTGGGGCAGGGCACAGTGGCTCATGCCTGTAATCCCAGAACTTTGGGAGGCCGAGGCGGGCAGATCACGAGGTCAGGAGTTCAAGACCAGTCTGGCCAACAGATTGAAACCCCGTCTAAAAATACAAAAAATTAGCTGGGTGTGGTGGTGTGCGCCTGTAATCCCAGCTACACAGGCGACTGAGGCAGGAGAATCGCGTGAACCCGGGAGGCGGAGGTTTCAGTGAGCCAGATCGCGCCATTGCACTCCAGCCCCAGCAATGGTGCCAGACTTCATCTCAAAAAGAAAAAAAAAAAAAGAGTTGTTTTTGCTATAAGGATTGCATTGAATCTGTGGATTACTTTGAGTAGTATGGGCATTTTAACAATATTGATTCTTCCAACATGGAATATCTTTCCATTTTTTTGTGTCCTCTTCAATTTCTTGCATCACTATTTTATGGTTTTTATTGTGAAATCTTTCACTTATTTGGTTAAAGTTAATTCCTAGGTATTTTATTTCTAGCTATTATAAGTAGTATTATTTTCTCGATTTTTTTGCCAAATTGGTTGCTGTTGGCATATAGAAATTCTACTGATTTTTTTATGTTGACTTCGTGTCCTGCAACTTTACTGAATTTCTTTTTCAGTTCTAATAGTTTTACGGTGGAGTCTTTAGGGTTTTACAAATATAAGATCATCTGCAAACAAGAATAATTTGACTTATTTCTTTCCAGTTTGGATGCCCTATATTTATTTCTCTTGTCTGATTGCTCTAGCTAGGAATTCCAGTACTGTGTTGAGTAGGAGTGGTGAAAGTGGACATCTTTGTCTTGTTACAGATCTTAGAGGAAAGACTTTTGGTTTTACCAATTCAAAATGATACTAGCTGTTGGCTTGTCATAAATGGTTTTCATTGTGTTGAGGTATGGTCCTTTTGTACCCAGTTTGTTTGGTTTGCTAGTTTTGGGCATTTATGAGACAGGGTCTCACATTGTCACTCAGGCTGGAGTGCAGTGGCACGATCTCAGATCACTACAGCCTCAACCCTTCCAGACTCAAGTGATATTCCCTACTCAGCCCCTCGTGGAGCTGGGACTAGGCACGCACCACCACAAACACCTAATTATTTATTTATTTATTTTTTATAGAGATGCAGTTTTACCGTTAGAACCAGGCTGATCTCAAACTCCTGGACACAATTAATCCACTTGCCTCAGCCTCCCAAAGTGATGTATTAAAGGTGTGAGCCACTGCTCTCAGCCTTACCCATTTTTTTGACAGGTTTTTGTTTTTGCTTCTGTTTGGTTTTTGTTTGTTTTTCTATTATTAAGGGGTGTTAAATTTTATCAAATGATATTTCAACTTGAATTAAAATGATCATACAGATTTTTTTTCATTCCATTAAAATAATGTATCACATTGATTGAGTTGTTTCTTCAAAGTACCATTTTAGAACATTATGACACATTTGTATTTATATTATCAAGATAGTATTATATGTAAAGATCTTTTCAACATGTATTGCAGAAACAAAAGGTAAGAGTTAAAAATAACATAAGGAGCTTATTATCACTTTCAAAGTGAGCAAAATAACTGTCCTATTAAAATATATTCTATCATGAAAATTTAAATAATGTTCTATATGAACCATAGATGTTTTCATGATGTATGAGCTCTCACACAAAATAATCCAATATATCTACTGCTTAGAAAGTCAGAAATTACTGCCAAAAATTCCCTACTTTAAAATGTCCTACTCATCCCCCTTCACACAAAAAATAAATAAAGCAAATTACCAGTAAGTTAAATATATCACCTAAGAACGTGAGTGTTTTCTTCATTTTAATTTTTTTCTAGTTTTATATTTGCAAGCCCTTGTCTCCCAAAATGCCCAAGAGCCCAAGACTTTCAAATATGTAAGACCTTTGTTAAATGTTATAATTTTCGTTTCTATTTGTCTAACTAATGAATCACCACCTATGTGGGTAGCATTATTTGTAAACATGCTATATAATTTGTTAAGATACAAAATAAGAAAACAAAGTAACAAAGTATTCTAATAACTGGGTAGATTGTTAAAGGGTATTCAATTATTTAAAATAATTTAAGAATATAGAAATAGTGTATCACTAAATATATATTAGGATATTAAAGTTCTTCTAGCTTCCAGACTGAAAACTTCATAGAAACGTAGTTAGAAAATGCAGTAATATTAGTTTAAAATGTGCTATATAAACAATTTTGTCATGCTAGCCTACAAAACTTTCCAATATGTTGATTATCATGATTCTTATTTTACATTGTGAAAATAAATACACACATATACAAATTCCCGTTTCAAATAGAAATTAGTAGTACAGCAAACATTTGAATCCAACTCTTTCTAGGTTTAAATTATATGTTCTTTTTATCACACATTCTACCTAAAATGCATATTGAATGCAATTTCAGCTTCAGGTATGTTTGCAGATAAAGTAAAAAAAAGGTTAAATTTGTTGCAATTGTGAAATGAAATATTTTACAGCATTCATGAGTAGAAAGTTACTCTAACCAGAATTTGTGAAAACCAACTGTTCTTCAATGTTGAATATATATGAATAACTAATTTATTATTTGTTATACAATATTTTATGAAAAAAGTTTACTATTAACAAATATTATAGAAATGATACTAGGTGGGTATATAAGTAGAAATATTTTATCTACAAGAACTTCAATAAACTTAAGACAGAGATTGTATTTACCTATGAGTTACTGAACTTGGCTCTTAACTTGGTGAACCATAAAAGAAACTACTTTGATATTAAAATATAATTACTATTACACAGCCAAGTGTACCTTCCTTTTCAGGAAGGTATGTAATAAATTAAATACATTTAAGTAATGTCAAGTTTGTAGTAATTTTATCCCAATGAGGAAAATGAACAGTGGACTCTGCTTAAATTTAGAATGTAGAAACATGATTGCTCTTGCTAAACTGTTGGTAAAAAACAAATTGAAAGATAATACTTTCCTTGAGTTCTTACTGGTAAGTTTTATATTTTCATTTATTCCATTTGGCAACCCTTATGCATTGAGGTGTATTTTTCATCCATCTCTATGCTACCTGTTGAGGATAAAAAAAAATGTTATGACACTCTTTTTTTTCTAGAAACTTAAAGTAACAGAACAGAGAAGCAAAAAAAAAAAAAAAAGTATTTAAGACTGAATAGTGGGCTGGGTGCCGTGGCTCAAGCCTGTAATCCTAGCACTTTGAGAGGCCGAGGCAGGCAGATCACCTGAGGTCAGGAGTTCAAGACCAGCCTGGCCAAGATGGCGAAACACCATCTCTACTTAAAAAATACAAAAATTAGCTGGGTATGGCAGCACATGCCTGTAATCCCAGCTACTTGGGAGGCTCCAGAAGAAGAATTGCTTGAACCCAGGAGGTGGAGGTTGCAGTGAGCCAAAATTGTGCCACTGCACTCCAGCCTGGGCAACAGAGATTCCATCTAAAAAACAAAACGATACAAACATACAAAAAGCCTGAATAGCCTATATGTCCAAAAATAATATCCTACATAAGGAAAACTGAAAATGATATAAGTATATCTTAAAACTTATGTTTTTCAATGGACTGAATGTTTACATGCATCCTAAATTAACATGTTGAAATCCCATTCTCCAATATGATGGTATCTGGGGCTTTGTGAAGTAATTAGGTCATGAGGTTGGAGCCCTCATGAACGGGATTCATGCCCTTACACAAAGGACCACAAAGAGCTCTCTCACTTTCTTTGCACTATCGTGAGAACACAAGGAGGTGCAGTCATTCTCCCATCCACGTACTAACCAGACCCAACCCTGCTTAGCTTCTGAGGTCAGACAACATCAGGCACATAAGGGTGGTAAGGCCATAGATGAGATGTCAGCATTCTGCATCCTGGAAAAGGGTCTTTACTAGAATTTGACCATGCTGGCACACTGATTTCAGCTTTCAGAAATGTGAACAATAAATTTCTGTTGCTTAAGCCTCCCAGTCTATGGTACTTTTGTAAAGCAGCTCACACGACTAAGACATAACATAAACCATCTCCTACAATTCTCTTTTAGCTCCAGCTACATTGACCTCCTTGCTGTTTTTCAGATACAACTAACAATATCCTGTCTTTGCCTTGGCTATTCTCTGGAATACTCTTCCTTCAGATATTTAATGACATCTACAATTTTATTCAAATATCACCTTCTCAATGAAGTCTACCCTCTCCAAACTGTTTAAAATTTCAACAAAGTAGTTATATTTCTGATCCCTTTTCTCATTCTTTACTCCACTCTCTTTCACAGCAATTATTTTGCTAATGTATGTAATTTACTTTGCTTATTTTCCTTTGCCTCAGTAGAATATAAGTTACAAAAATAATGGGATCTTCATCTATTATTTTCACTTTTGTAACAAGTTGTTAGAACAATTACGACCAAAGACATGAAGCCATACAATTTTATTCCCACTTGTCAATCCTTTTATGCAAGATGCAGAGAGGCAATTTTGCTTAAATATTGATTTAATGACTGGTGTTCTACATAATCTTTCTTGAATCAAACTCACCTATGTTGTGTCATGTAAAATTTGGGGTTGTAATTTTATTGAAGAGAAGCAAAAATGAAAATATTAATATCATCTATAGATAGACACGCACAAAACATACATGCATATATGGAAAATATATCTCAATAAAGTGTCTGAAATTGTGGGTCTATTATATTGTTATCCTAAATGTTTCCTTAGGAAAAGACCTTAACCTTAGAGTATGTTGCTTCTAAGACATGGTTACATATCAAGCACAGGAGAATATGACTTATACAAAGTCAAAATATTCCACTTAAAATGAAAACAGAACAATAAATAAATAGTTCTCATATTTTTAGGATTTGGAAATTTGGAAATTATATTCTGTTTATGCAGTCTTATAATAAATATGCTCATGTTCCTTTCATTCCTGAGTGAGAATGTCAATTATATTTATAATAAAACCAAGTATCATTAAATAATATTTAGCTCAACATTCATTCCAATGTTAAAAGCATGTGGCCATCACCTTAGAAAGAATACCTTTAGTTCTTCTCTAATTTAATTATTAACTTAATTTATTAAATTTATGTTTTGGAAGAATCCTTACCAAACTTTCTCTTACTTAAGCCAATATATATGCTTATAAGCAATATATATGATATATGCACAGACAGAAACCTTTAAAATGATTTTTTAAAACCTACATTGTTCTTTGACATTCCACAATCATTGTATCACAAGGTAAACTTTATAAAAGAGGTTAATTAAATTTTTTGGCTTTTACTTTGTGGATACTTTCCAAGTTAAAGATCTTATATTTTTTGTCATGTGTTCATTGTGTGGGTTAACAGACATGTTCTCCTTAGTTTCGACACAAGAATCTGTTTTTATCTTAAATAAATGATTTTGTCTTGGAATTGTGATAGGCTGAAAAATAGCTCCCCAAAATATCTGGATCCTAATCCCCAGAACCTATAAATGTGTGTTTATGTGGCATAGGAAATTTTGCATATGTGATTAAATTCTTTCAAGGTGAGGAGACTATCCTGTGTTATCCCAGTGGGCTCTAAATGTAATCATATGTGTCCTTATAAAAGGAAAACAGAACAAAATTTGACCACAGAAGAGAGAAAGCGAGGGTACCACAGAAACAGAGGGATAGAAAAAGAGAGAGATTTGAGGATGCTATGCTGCTGTCTTTGAAGATGAAGAAAGGTGCCATGAGCCTAGGAATGTAACAGCTGTAACTCTAGAAGCTGAAAAGTCAAGGAAATTGATTTTTCCTTACAGCCTTCCAAAGAAAATGCAGTCCTGCTAACACTTTGTTTTTGGACACATCAAATCCATTTTAAACTTCTGACTTTCAGAACCGTTAGTCAATAGATTTCTGTTATTTTAAACCATTACATTTGTGGTAATTTGTTACAGCAGCAATAGGAAACTAATGGAAATGCTGAATCATTTAACTATTCATGCTAGCTTTTTTTTTTTTACCTCTATCTTTAACACTGCAGGACCAAATTGCTCCCATAATTTATGTTATTTTATTTTTCAGAAAGGGATCTTGCTCCATTGCTCAGGCTGGAGTACAGTGGTATGATTATGGCTCACTGCAGCCTCAAACTCTTGGGTAAAAGTGATCCTCCTGCCTCAGCCTCTCAAGTAGCTTTAACTACAGGTGCATGCCACCATGCCCAACTTATCACAATTTTAATCAGCACACTTGGTTGGTCTGAATAGCAAGCATTTTACCCTAGACACAATTCTCAGTTTCATCTAAGTTTTCCTCCATCATTTATCACTTCTGCTGATTTTCAATCCTATCTGATAGTATTTTGTTGTATTGTGTTCATTATTGTTAGATCAGCTAAAGGCATCTAACAATTTCCTTTGTTATCTTTGATTTCCCATCTTATCATTTTAATCTCAAGCATTTGGAATTTTGTAATGTATTTCCTAAAATATGATGGTTCATAGTAAATTTTGTAGTATCACACCATGGGGAGTTTTATCTCCAGGTGGCCTAAGGCACTACCTGGTAGTAAGTTAAGGACTTAAGAAGATACTATAAGTCTTACACACTCTACAGTACTATTAATAATAGTGAAGCCATAGTGCACTAAATATACTGTTATATATTCAGGACAAAACAAGCTTCTCAGCAGGTTTCAGGACCTATGTATTTTATTTTTCTTGCAAAATAGTAATGAAGGAAATGATATGAAAGCAAACACCCACTGATCATGCACTTTATGTATATTATTATTTTGCTAAAGGAAAACATATTTTATGCCAAGGAGATCTGAAATCATTCATCATTCATAGATTTAAAAACACCTCTGCACTAAATTCCATCAATATGCAGAAGATTTTAATCTCTATTTTTAATTTAGCATTAAAGAATTGCAACTTAAATACTAAACGAAACTACTTTCATGCCCAATTGGACATTTCACCATATTTTCTTCTAATATCTTTATTGTTTTGACTTTCATTTTTAGGTTTTTATACACTGTCAGTCACACTTTCATGTAGGGTGGAGATAAAATAATGACAGTTTTTCTAAAGAGATGCTTTATGAATGGAATCTGAATGAAAATGGAAACAGTCTAATATTAAACATCTTGATATTATTAATTATGAACCATATTTCAGTCTATATTGATCTGTTAACATTTCTATTGTCTTCTCTGTGTGTACCTAGTTATTAGAATTCTCCTTCCCCATCTTTTGAAATGCCTTTGAGTACCCAAAGGTTTCCGAAAAAGTATTCAATTTTTCAAACTGCTTTCTTGAGACATAACAAAGGCACGCTAATTCAATTTCACTGCAAAAACTATCACTCAGGTAAATAACCATTTCTCTTAAAAAATGAAGTGTTTATCTTCATTACTTCAAGTAAAAAATGAAGTGGATAATTTTACTAGGAAAATAACATGAAATTATTTTGAATGTTTCAGTCTACTATTATCCATTTGGTAAATTGTCTTTTAAAAACACAAATTGCCAATGTGCTCTCGGTCGATCTGTAATTTACTCTTGTTTTCTCACACTGAGACATCACAACAGAGAAATTAAGTAATTAAAATGAAGAGAAATTTAAGTTAAAATTAAAATGTAACTTCATGGTAGGTTAGAAAATTAAATAAATCTTTTGATGGAACTTTAGGAATACCTTTTATGTAGTAGAAATTAAAGTTTATGCTTCATAGACAAGATGAAAAGTATATACTTCCCAGGGTGCAAGAATTTCTGTCTATGTTGTTTTCATTGCATTCTCAGCACCTGGACCATGATGGGCACATTATACGTGCTTGATACACCTGTTAACTAGCGAAATAAATAAATAAATACAATGATGAATGGACATCTGGCTAAGTGGTTGGATTAATAGACTACACTTTTAACTCTGTAATTTTATTTATTTCCATATAATTTCTATGCAATTTTGAAAGAGAGGACAGTATGGAGCAGTCAGTGGATACTTGAGAACAGAATATATTAAAATACTAAGGATCTTAATAAAAGTAAATGGCATTGGCTCTTTGATCAGCAAATAATATGTTATTAATGTAAAAATAAATATATTGACAGTGAAAAATAGAAAACAACAGGAAATATTGTAGAAGAAAAATACATTGCTTTTTAAAAAAACTTATAAGACACTAATGGTGGCATGACTAGGTTTTGTTACTAACAAAACATTTTATTGTATCACTTACTATCTTGATAAATCTCAGTGATAAGCATACAAACATTTATTCTGTTTATATATACTAAAATGAACACAGATGTTAAATTTAAAAAAAAATAAAATTAACAATCACTAAAAATATAATAAAATGCTTAGCTGTACATTTAACCAAACCATGCAGGACTTTTGCATGAAAAATACACAACAGTAATGAAAAATATTAGAAAATATTTAATCAATGGAGTGACATACGGCCTCACAGATTGAAAGATTTAACATAAAATAAAGATGGCAATTTCCCAAAGTTGTATGTGTGTTTAACACAATCACAATCAACATCCCAGCAAGATTTACATTAGATATTGATATGACTATTCAAAAATTTGTATAGTAAGACAAGGAAAGTAGACTAGCCTAAATAATTTTTAAAAATAAGGATAATGGGAAGGAGTCACAATACTCAATTTCAAGACTTATTACTCAGCTACAGACTAAGAATGTATGGTATAATTAGGGGAATAGACACATAGATCAACGAAACATAGTAGAGATCCCATAAATAGACCCACGCAAAAGTGCCCAACCAATTATGATAAATAAAAGCAATTTAGTGCGTAAAGATAGAGTTTTTAATGAGTGGTGGCAGAGTAATTGGACATCCGCAGGACAAAATTATAAAACAAAACAAAATTTTTAAAAACTTGACCTACATTTTATATATTTTACAAAAATTAATTCAAAATTATCATGAACTTATACAACAAAGTAAAACTATGAAACCTTTAGAAAAAAGATGAAAACACTTTCAGGATTCAGAAATAGGCAAATATTGCTTAGAGTTTACACCAAAAACATGATCCTTAAAAGGATACATTGATAAATTGGGCTTCATCAAAATGAAAAACTTTCACTTTGTGAAAGACTCTGTTAAGAGAAGGAACTGACAAACAGCAGACTAGAAAAAATAAATATTTTCCTAATTCACATCCCACAAAGAACTGCTGTCTAAAATATATTTTAAAATTCTCAAATCTCAACACTAAAAAGTCAAATAATACAGTTAGAAAATAGGAAAAAAAACCATAATGAGACATTTCAATGAAGAAGATCTAAAGATGGCAAGTAAGCATATTAGATGTTCAACATTATTAGCCACTAGAGCAATACAAATTAAAACCTCAGAAGATAGCCCTACACCCATCAGAATGGATGAAGTAAAAAATATTGACAACACCGAATGCTAACAAGGACACGCAGAAATGACATTACTCCTACCTTGCTAATGGTAATGTTAAATAGCAAAAATGCTCTGAAAATATTTTGGCAGTTTTTTAAAAAACTAAACATGCAAATACAGTACAAACCAGCATTATACTCCTTGGCATACATCCGAGAGAAATAAATGCATTTTTACACAAAGTCTACACATGAATGCATACAGCATCTTTATTATTAATAACCCACATCTGGAAACAACCTGGAGGCTCTTCAATAGGTCAATGGTTTAACAATATTTAGTACATTCATCCCATGGAAGAGTTCTCAGCAGTAATAAGGAAAATCACTGGGACAGATAACACATAACATTCCAGAGAATTATGCTAAGCAACAAACACCACTCATAAAAGGTTTTATTCTAGAATTTCATTTATGTAATATCTTTGAAGTGGCAAAGTTGTTGAGGTAGAGAATAGATTAATAGATTACAAAATTTAGACAGGGGTTCAGGTTAGAGGAAAGTAGGTTGGTTATAAAAGATAACATGAGGGATTCTTATTGTGTTCTTTATTTCTATTGTATCAATGTCAATATCTTCGTCTTTTTGCAAGATGTTACCATTGGGGGAGACTGGGTAAAGATCACAAGGGAACTTTCTGTATTATTTCTTGCTTCATGTGACTCTAAATATATCTCAAATAAAAACATTAATAAAAATGAGGGGTTATACATCCATATAAAATATTAATAAACATGCATAGAGATCTGAGAAATTATCCAGTAAGCCAGAAATTAAAAACATGGGAAATATTAAGGATGATTTGAGTAACATGACTATTAGGAGGAGGAGGTCCACACATATTCCTAATGAGGAAATATACAGAAAATATTTGCTGACCGTAATCAGCCACATAAACTAGGTCAACCCTTTTACTAAAAATAATGAGGAAGTTTGTACTTTTTTAAAAAAAGTAGAAAACACAACTTATTTAACAAGATAATAAGTAATTTCTTAGTTAGAAGGAGAAGGAAGTTTAGAAAGTAGAGCCCATATTTGTGGCTTATTTCCTCTGTGGTCGTTTGCCTGTCAAAGATACATGGCAGAGAGTTTGAGAAACTAGGAGTACACTTTTTTTTTTTTCATTATACGTTAAGTTCTAGGGTACATGTGCACAACGTGCAGGTTTGTTACATATGTATACATGAGCCATGTTGGTGTGCTGCACCCATTAAGTCGTCATTTACATTAGGTATATCTCCTAATGCTATCCCTCCCCCCTCCCCCCTTCCACGACAGGCCCTGGTGTGTCATGTTCCCCTTCCTGTGTCCAAGTGTTCTCATTGTTCAATTCCCATCTCTGAGAGAGAACATGTGGTGTTTGTCTTTTTGTCCGGGGGATAGTTTGCTGAGAAAGATGATTTCCAGCTTCATCCATGTCCCTACAAAGGACATGAACTCATCTTTTTTTTATGGCTGCATAGTACTCCATGGTGTATAAGTGCCATATTTTCTTAATCCAGTCTATCATTGATGGACATTTGGGCTGGTTCCAAGTCTCTGCTATTGTGAATAGTGCCGCAATAAACATAAGTGTGCATGTGTTTTTATAGCAACATGATTTATAATCCTTTGGGTATATACCCAGTAATGGGATTGCTGGGTAAAATGGTATTTCTAGTTCTAGATCCTTGAGGAATTGCCACACTGTCTTCTACAATGATTGAAGTAATTTACATTCCCACCAACAGTGTAAAAGTGTTCCCATTTCTCCACATCCTCTCCAGCACCTGTTGTTTCCTGACTTTTTAATGATCGCCATTCTAACTGGTGTGAAATGGTATCGCATTGTGGTTTTGATTTGCATTTCTCTGATGGCCAGTTATGATGAGCATTTTTTCATGTGTCTGTTGGCTGCATAAATGTCTTCTTTTTAGAAGTGTCTGTTCACATCATTCACCCACTTTTTGATGGGGTTGTTTTTTTCTTGTAAATTTGTTTGAGTTCTTTGTAGATTCTGGATATTAGCCCTTTGTCAGATGAGTAGATTGCAAAAATTTTCCCCCATTCTGTAGGTTGCCTGTTCACTCTGATGATAGTTTCTTTTGCTCTGCAGAAGCCCTTTAGTTTAATTAGATCCCATTTGTCAATTTTGGCTTTTGTTGCCATTGCTTTTGGTGTTTTAGACATGAAGTCCTTACCCATGCCTATGTCCTGAATGGTATTGCCTAGGTTTTCTTCTAGGGTTTTTATGGTTTTAGGTCTAACATTTAAGTCTTTGATCCATCTTGAATTAATTTTTGTGTAAGGTGTAAGGAAGGGATCCAGTTTCAGCTTTCTACATATGGCCAGCCAGTTTTCCCAGCACCATTTATTAAATAGGGAATCCTTTCCCCATTGCTTGTTTTTGTCAGGTTTGTCAAAGATCAGAAAGTTGTAGATGTGTAGTATTATTTCTGAGGCTCTGTTCTGTTCCATTGGTCTATATCTCTGTTTTGGTACCAGTACCATGCTGTTTTGGTTACTGTAGCCTTGTAGTATAGTTTAAAGTCAGGTAGCATGATGCCTCCAGCTTTGTTCTTTTGGCTTAGGATTGACTTGGGAATGTGGGCTCTTTTTTGGTTCCATATGAACTTTAAAGTAGTTTTTTCCAATTCTGTGAAGAAAGTCATTGGTAGCTTGATGGGGATGGCATTGAATCTATAAATTACCTTGGGCAGTATGGCCATTTTCACGATATTGATTCTTCCTATCCATGAGCATGGAATGGTCTTCCGTTTGTTTGTGTCTTCTTTTATTTGGTTGAGCAGTGGTATCCTGATGCCAAAGCCTGGCAGAGACACAACAAAAAAAGAGAATTTTAGACCAATATCCCTGATGAACATCAGTGCAAAAATCCTCAATAAAATACTGACAAACCGAATCCAGCAGCACATCAAAAAGCTTATCCACCATGATCAAGTGGGCTTCATCCCTGGGATGCAAGGCTGGTTCAACATACACAAATCAATAAACGTAATCCAGCATATAAACAGAACCAATGACAAAAACCACATGATTATCTCAATAGATGCAGAAAAGGCCTTTGACAAAATTCAACAGCCCTTCATGCTAAAAACTCTCAATAAATTAGGTATTGATGGGACATATCTCAAAATAATAAGAGCTATTTATGACAGACCCACAGCCCATATCATACTGAATGGGCAAAAACTGGAAGCATTCCCTTTGAAAACTGGCACAAGACAGAGATGCCCTCTCTCACCACTTCTATTCAACAGTAGTGTTGGAGGTTCTGGCCAGGGCAATCAGGCAGGAGAAAGAAATAAAGGGTATTCAATTAGGAAAAGAGGAAGTCAAATTGTCCCTCTTTGCAGATGACATGATTGTATATTTAGAAATCCCCATTGTCTCAGCCCAAAATCTCCTTAAGCTGATAAGCAACTTCAGCAAAGTCTCAGGATGCAAAATCAATGTGCAAAAATCACAAGCATTCTTATACACCAATAACAGACAAACAGAGAGCCAAACCATGAGTGAACTCCCATTCACAGTTGCTTCAAAGAGAATAAAATACCTAGAAATCCAACTTACAAGGGATGTGAAGGAGTACACTTCTTAGACTTGCACTCCTGGGATGAAATTTAGGACCCCTGGGCCTGTCAAACAAAGTGTGCTGGAAAATGCCTCTGATAGTGGACTCATAATAAGGACTTATATTAGGAATAAGAATAAAGCAAAAATGGAGCAGTTATCACAGCATAAATTTGCTGAAAAATAAGTGAAAGGGGTTGGGCGCAGTGGCTTATGCCTCCAATCCCAGCACTTTGGGAGGCTGAGGCGGGCAAATCACCTGAAGTCAGGAGTTCAAGACCAGCCTTGCCAACATAGTGAAACCCCATCTCTACTAAAAATACAAAAATTAGCTGGGTGTGTTGGTGGGCACCTGTAATCCCATCTACTTGGGAAGCTGAGGCAGGAGAATCACTTCATCCCTGGAGGCAGAGGTTGCAGTGAGCTGAGATCATGCCGCTGCACTCCAGCCTGGGAGACAGAGGGAGACTCCGTCTCAAAACAAAAGTGAAAGGAGTCCTTGTCCGGCAATCATGAAGTAATATGTACAAGACTAGCCCTCTAGCAAAACAAACAAACAAAATACAAACTAGAAAAGTAGAAAAAAATATTTAATTCAACTGTAGTCAGACATTTAAAAAGAATGTATTGTGTTCCCTAAGAGATAGGAAACAAAAGTTGAAACACAAATTCTCCTTGAATTTCTGCCTGGAGACACTTTCCAGACGTAATACAGCAACAGAAAAACAAAGAAGATTGTGATAGTCTTATTGGTCTGACACAACATGTCACGGACTTTGGGAATGTTGATGTTTCTGGAACAGTCGGGGGAGAATAAACGAGAGGTTGGAAATTTTTTTTAAAAAGTTTCAGACTTCATATAGAGATAAAGATTTTCGTACCCAGGGTAAGGCTCCATACATCTGATCAAGATATAACTACAAAAGAAAAGCAACTAGCCAGCAATTGTAACCTTAGCAACTAATAGATCTTACTCAGGTTAGTGAGAAATTGAAAATCTATCAGCCAGAGTGGATCAACCTTATTGAATACTCAAAGTGTCAGAAAAGCTTTTACTTAGATGTAGGGCTTAATGCACTGGCGAATATAAGCTACTCTAGACCCATTAGAGAAATCCTAGAGAAAATGATAACAGGTGGAAACTTGAAGTACATAAATTAAAAGACTCAGAAGTGGTAAAGACATAGATTCTGTAAATGACAATTCACTGCTTAAAATAAAATAATAATTGTATAAGCCTCACAATAATAAGCCACAACAGTGAAAGTGAGAAAATGAAAACTACATTGCTGTAAGACTCTTAAATTTTAAAAATAAAAAGAAGAAATTATGCTCCTGTCATAGTGACAAAGTAGAAAATTTCAGTGTATGTGGAATAATATTATTGTCCAAGACTACTATGAATTCTAAAATTCTCTACATTATATATAATTGTCCGCTTTGGAGAGCTATTGCTTAAAATAGTCAAATGCCAAAGATAAAGAAGGAAGTCCAGGGAAGCAGGAAAAAAATCCAGATAAAAATCCAAAGCTATAAAAAGAATATATAACATTAATGTCTTCGAATTTTTAAGAGGCAAATTGAGTTAAAGTTATTAACGTACCCTGTTGTTTTTCAAAGAGGTAAAATAACTAATTACATTAGATTTTTGTACTTTAATAATTCATGTTGTAATTTCTGGAATAACTGATAGGTATGATTCATGTGTGAATATGACATTCAAATAGAAAAAAAGGGATATTAAAAATACTAAGTTAATAAAAGTATAAATGAAAAAGGAGGTAACATCATAGAAAAGTAAGGTAAAAAAACAAATCGTAAAATAGTAAGTTTTAACAAACATATTTTTAACAATTGTTAAATGAAAACCGACAAAAAATGAAGTTCAAAAGAAAAGTTTAATCTTGGTAATTCAATAATGACTATACTGCAACAATTAAAGGGACTTGCATTAACACATTTGACACTTTAACAACACAAGTGTTAGTGACTTTCATCCCCCACCATGCCCCGTGCCTTTGAAAATTTGTATATAACTTTTGACTCCTACAAAACTTTACTACTAATAACCTTAACTACTAATATTTGACAGGATTCCTTACTGATAACATAAACAGGTGATAAACACATACATAGACTAGGATCTATATATATTTATTGCATTTGTGACATACCTAACTTTTCTTAATTTTTATGGTATTATGGTATTTCTTGGCTATGTGATTCATCTGCAAGTTTTCTATAATTGTAACAAATCTTCAAATAATTTGGCAATATATTTCTTGGAAAAAATCTACATGTAAGGGTACCCATATTATTCAAATCCATGTTGTCCATGAGTAAACTGTACAGTAATTTGGAAAGTCAAAGGTTGAAAATATATATACCATACAAAGTCTAAGCATATTTCTAGGGCCAAATATATTTTATAACAAAAAAGATATCCTTCCAAAAAATAGACTTGAAATTTGTCTGAAATATGTTGAAGAAAAATAAACAAATGAAGGCAAATTTTTAAGCACTTGGCTCTGCATTTTAAAATTTCCACATTTCCTTCAATATTTCTTGAATATTCCTTATTTAAAAAGATTATCTTATATATGTTCTATGTGAAAACTATTTCATCAACTTGCATATTAAATTGTAGTAAAGCATAAAGGTTAATGTTAAATAAATATGAATGTTCTTTTTTTCTGACCAAAACTCAATTACTAGTCTTGTCGGGCTCTCCAGGTACACATTAACTGCTTCGAGGACCATGTTGTTAGGCACAATGGAGATTTTTGTAAGTTTTTGTTGTTGTTGTTGCAGTTGTTTTGGTCAGGAGTAGAACACTTAGACTTAATAACAAATAATTAGTAAATAAATTATTGAAAATACTTAAAAAGCATATTTTCAGCCAGGTGCGGTGGCTCACGCCTGTAATTCCAGCACTTTCGGAGGCTGAGGTGAGCAGATTGGGAGGTCAAGAGTTCTAGACCAGCCGGAACAACATAGTGAAACCCTGTCTGTACTAAAAATACAAAAAGTTAGCCAGGCGTGGTGGTGGGCACCTGTAATCCTAGCAACTCAGGAGGCTGAGGCAGGAGAATCACTTGAACCTGGGAGGCGGAGTTTCCAGTGGGTCAAGGTCGTGCCACTGCACTCCAGCCCAGCCTACAGTGCAAGACTCCATCTCTAAATAAATAAATAAAGTATGTTTTCGGACATAAATATCAATAAAAATGACAGTTATTCATTTTTAGTAGTAATTCCTTAGCCCCATGTCTCCAGCAAATTATTTTAAAAATATAATGAAAAAGCAAGAATTGGTGACACAATCAAGTGTCACAATTTATACTTCAGGAGATGTGATTACTTAAGGAAGAGAGGAAAGATAGTTTATTCACGTTTTAATTTTACTAATAAGATTATCAGATCATTATATGGGTAAGGAATTAAACACAAAGCAATGTGTAAGCTATAGTACAATAAAATTCTGCCCAAATGCATATGAATGTACTTTATTAAACATCATCTAACGTAAGATAGGTGATTAAGAGTGATTAAAAGTAAGTTTCTGTCTTCCTTTGCTGAAAATGAATCCATTAAACAGGTAAATTAGTAAGAAACTAATTTTATATACAATTATTTTCTCTTTAAGCACGTGTGAGAAACAGAAGGTAAGAATATGATGACAAAATATTTGGATATTACTTGGAATAGAAAATAATGAGTAATGAAAGAGAAAATAAATTTTATTTCTTCACCTCAAGCCTTCAGATTAAAATACGCATTTTTGTGTTGTTCACTCTTGTGTATCTTTTCTGAGTAGTAGATATCACATGATGTCAATGATTACTAAAATATTCAAGCATCAATTATGTGTTTCAGTGTTTTATGTTTTTTTCTTTGCTTGTCTTTCTAAATTGCTTTAAAATATATAATCATGATGTGTATAATATGACTTTATAAATATATGAAATTTTTTATGATATGCATTCCTTAATTTTCTATTTTTAATATATATTCTCTTGCATCGTTTACTTTTACACTTTTAACTATATTGCCCTATTACTGTAGTTTGTACATTTTTAATTCACTTATATCTTGAAGAGTTTAGGCTACAGGTTTTCCTGAATGCAACAATTTTCAAATTATTCCATTTGAGATTATGCAAATTTCTAACTGCTAAATTTCTGGCTCCACTATAATTACAATATTAGTATTTTTACTGAATTAGATTAAACATTCAGAATCCCAGGATAATAGGAGTAGATTAAATGCATATGATTTTGAATTTAATTAATTTCCCCATCTAGTTCTGGTGGTCGCTAGTGTTCTGTGGTTTGTGGCAGCACAGCTCCAGTCTCTGCCTCCATCTTCACTTGGTCTTGCTGTAAGTCTCATTATATACTTATCTGATACATTCTATACTCAGCTGATACTCCTTATTGATATATTCGTTTTTAATTAAATTTAAAACTGCTTACTTTAGCATGGTTGAAAATATCCAATATCCAGTAAAACGTATTCATCTCAGAAACTTTTTATAAAGATTTCATAGAACATATCAGTTTTAAAGGAACTGTGTATTTATTTTTAGTCATTACATTAGAGAATACCAGTATATTATATGCCTCTCATTGTTGAAATTACTAATCCTTAACAAATAAAACTGTTCGTACAAATTGACAGGTAGCCTTTTCTACCTATACCTCTATTGCCCACAGACGGAAGAACACTCTCCTATTCTTAAATATGAAAAGCTCATTCGTAATAACCTAATGAAGTTTCATGTTTTGATTCTTCAAGGAGTATTTGAATCTCCTGTCATTACTGCTCTAATTTATAACCTCTCTCATTCACAGCTCCATCTCGTCCTTCTCTAATTAACAAACACATCTAGTTTCTTTCATTTTACTCATCATATTGCACAGCAATTATTTTTGTCTTTCTCTTTTACTATATTATAATTCCTTTATCAGCAGAAACATTATTTGATTGCATATTAGTGCAACTTATCTTTCAAATATGTAACAGCACTTATGACATAGCTGATGGTTAAATATTTGTTTAATAAGGCATATAAGGCATTTTGCAGAACTCAATCTCCAACATATTGTGTTTCATTCTTCTGCTCACATTTTGTATCTGTTTCCTAGCACCGCCATATTAAGGTACCATAAGGTAGATGCCTTAAAACAACAGAAATTTGTTCTCTCACAGTTCTGGAGATCAGAAGTCTGAAATAAAGGTGTTAGTAGGGCCATAGTACCTTCTAAGACTCTAGGGGAGAATCCTTTTTTTCCCCATCTACTTCTGGTGGTCACTAGTGTTCTGTGGTTTGTGGCAGCACAGCTCCAATCTCTGCCTCCATCTTCACTTGGTCTTGCTTTCTCTTTAAGTCTCATTATATACTCGTCTATTCTTACAAGGATACGGTCACTGGGTTTAGAATCAAACCCAAATCCAGGATGATTTCATCATGAGGCCTTTAACTAATTACCTCTGCAAAGACCCTATGTTCCAATAAGGTCGCATTCTGAAGTTTCAGGAGAACATGAATTTTGAAGAGACACTATTCAGCCTACTACAATGTTTTACATTGATACGAATTTAGTTACTATGTAAAAATATTACCTGATCATTAAAAAGACAGAATTTTATTTGGTTTAATACATTCTTTATATCATAATAAAACTAAAAATCTCAAAGGATGAAATACAAAAGATGATAGTACAATGGATCATCTATTTTCTCTCAAGTTTAAGTTGTCAAATATCCTGGATCATTAAAATTACAGGGGCCAGGCGCAGTGGCTCACGCCTGTAATCCCAGCAATTTGGGAGGCCAAGGCGGGTGGATCTCTTGAGGTCAGGAGTTCGAGACCAGCTTGGCCAACATGATGAAACCCCATCTCTACTAAAAATACAAAATAACCAGGCATGGTGGTGCATGCCTGTAATCCCAGCTACTCCGAAGGCTGAGGCAGGATAATCGCTTCAACCCAGGAGGCGGAGGTTGCAGTGATCAGAGATAGTGCCACTGCACTCTAGCCTGGGCAACAGATCAAGACTCTGTCTCAAAAATATATATATTATACAAAGGTATAAAGGTTTTGCAAAATTTTTCTTTTAGATCTTGTAAGTAAACAGAAAAGAAAGTATGTACAGGATATTGGATATACCTTAGAGGTATTTTGAGTTTGTCCCCAGACCACCTCAATATTGCAATAAAGCAAATCACATAAAATTTTTGGTTTCCCAGTGCACGTAAAAGGGATGTTTACACTATTCTGTGATCTATTCACTGCACAATAGCATTATGTTTTGTCTAAACAAAATGATGTATATATCTTGATTAAAAATACTTTATTGCTAAAAGATGCTAAAAATCATCTGAGCCTTTAGTAAGTAATAATTTTTTGTTGATGCTGATGGCTGCTGACTGACCAGGGTGGTGGTGGCTGAAGGTTGAAATGGCTGTGACAATTTCTTAAAACAAGATGATAATGAAGTTTGCCTCCTTACTTGGTTATTTCTTTCACTAAAGAATTATCTGTAGCATGTGATGCTTTTACCACAGCATTTTACTTGCAATAGAACTTTCAAAATTGAAGCCAATCCTCCCAGACTCTGCTACTGATTTATTAACTAAGTTTATGTAATTTTATTTGTTGTCATTTCAACAATGTTCACAGCATTTTTACTGGAAGATTTCATCTCAAGAAACATTTTCTTTCCTCATCCATAAGAAGCAACTCCCCATTCTACTCAAGTTTGATCATGAGATTGCAGCAATTCAGTCACATCTTCGGGATCCATTTCTAACTCTAGTTCTCTTGCTATTTCCACCCCATCTGCAGTTACTTCCTCCACTGAAATCTTGAACTTCTCGAAGTCATCAATGAGGGTTTTAATCATCTTCTTCCAAACCCCTGTTAATGTTGATATTTTGACCTTCTCCAATGTATCATGAATGTTCTTAATGGCACCTAGAATGGTGAATCCTTTTCAGAAGGTTTTCAATTTACTTTTCTCATATCAACCAGGGGAATCACTATCTATGCCAGCTATAACCTTAAGGTATTTATTTATCAAATAAGACTTGAAAGTTAAAATTACTCCCTGATTCATAGGATGCAGAATGCATATGGTGTTAGCAGGTATGAAAACAATATTAACCTCCATGCACATCTACAACAGAGCTCTTGGGTGAACAGATTCATTGTCAATGAGCAGTCATATTTTGGAATTAATATTTTTTTCTGTGCATTAGGTCTCAACATCGGGCTTAAAATATTTAGTAAACCAAGCTGAAAACAGATGTGCTTTAATTCAGGCTTTGTTTCATTTCTAGAGCACAGGCAGATTAGATTTGGCATAATTCTTAAGGGCCCTAGGATTTTCAGAATGGTAAATGACTACTGGCTTCAACTTCAGATCACCAGCTGCATTAGCCCCTAACAAGAGAATCAGCCTGTTCTTTAAAGATTTGAAGCCAGGCATTGCCTTCTTTCCAGCTGTGGAAGTTCTAGATGGCACCTATTTCCAATAGAAGGCTGTTTTATCTATACTTAAGTATAGCCATATTTATCAATTGTCTTATTTAGAGCTTCTGAATAACTTGCTGCAGCTTTTCCATCTGCAGTTGCTGCCTCACTTTGCACTTTGAAGTTATAGAGGCAGCTTCTTTACTTAAACCTCATGAATCAATCTCTGTTAGTTTCCAACTTTTCTTCTGCAGCTTCACCAGCTTTCCCAGCTTTCATAGAATTAAAGAGTTACCATTCTGCTCTTCATTAGGCTTTGGCTTAAGGGAATGTTATCCCTGGTTTGATCTATCCAGAGTACCAAACTTTCTTCATGTCACCAATAAGGCTGTTTTGCTTTCTTGCAATGCATACGTGGAATAACACTTTTAATTTCATTTTATAACTTATTTACATTCAGAGCTTGGTTATCTGATGCAAGAATCCTAGCTTTTGGCCCATCTCATGCCTTCCTCATTAAGCTCAATCATTTCTAGCTTTTGATTTAATGGGAGAGACAGACTGATCTTCCTGTTACTTGAACACTTAGAGGTCATCATAGGGTTATCAATTGGCCTAAGTTCAATATTGTCTCTTAGGGAATAAGGTGGCTTGAGCAGAGGGAGGGAGAAAAGGAATGGCCTATCAGTGGGACAGTAAGAATGCACACTATGTTCCCCTTCCTGTGTCCAAGTGTTCTCATTGTTCAATTCCCACCTATGAGTGAGAACGCTCAGTGTTTGGTTTTTTGTCCTTGCGATGGTTTGCTGAGAATGATGGTTTCCAGCTTCACACCAGGGCCTGTCTTGCTCACTGGATCCAATCAGAATAATGTCTTCAATGTATTAGACCAGTGTGATATCTTGTGGAAGTGAAAAGTGATCAAAGTCTCTCCTTGTAAGACTGTGACAGAAGGCCGAAGATATACCCCTGAGGTAGGACAGTAAAGGTATATTGCTGCCCTTGCCTGCTGAAGGCAAATTGCTTCTGGTGGGCCTTATAGACAGAAATGGAAAAAAAAGGCATTCGCCAAGTCAATGGCTACATACCAGGTACCAGGAGATATGTTAATTTGTTCAAGCAATGAAACCACATGCGGCACAACAGCTGCAATTGGAGTCAACATTTGGTTAAGCTTATGATAATCCACTGTCATCCTCCATGATCCAACTGTCTTCTGCACAAGCCAAATGGGAGAGTTGAAGTGGGATGTGGTGGAAATCATCACCCCTGTGTCTTTCAAGTCCTTGATGGTGGCACTAATCTCTGTAATCCCTGCAGGGATGTGATATTGTTTTTGATTTACAATTTTTCTAGGTAGAAGCATCTCTGATGGCTTCTATTTGGCCTTTCTAACCATAATAACCTTCACCCTACCAGTCAGGGAACCAATGTGGGGGTTCTGCCAGCTGCTATGTATGCCTATTCCAATTATGCATTCTGGCACTGGGGAAATGATCAGAGGACAAGTCTGGGGACCTGCTGAACCCACTGTAAGTCGGACCTAAGCTAAAACTCCATTAATTATGTGACCTTCATAAGCCCCTGCTTTAACTGGAGGACCACAGTGACGTTTTGGTTCCTCCAGAATCAATGTCAGCTCTAGCCAGTGTCCAGTAGTCCCAAAAATGTCTGATCATTTCCCTTTCTCCAATGCACAGTTACCCTGGTAAAAGGCCAGAAGTCTTCTTGGGGAAGGATGGAAGAACGATTAACAGCATACATTGTCAGTAGTATGGTGGGGTCCTTCCTCAAGGGGATCAGGCCTCCCCTTCGTTCAAGGGGTTCTGGTTCTATAAACTGGATCAAGTCTGGAAACTGATTGAGGGGGCATGATTCTCTGTTTTTATAATTCAAATTAGTCTTTTTTTCCATTTGACCTGATATAAATTAAGTAGGAATGCTTTAGATTTCCTGTCAATTTCACTTCTAGGAACACTGTGATTAATTAGCCAATGCCAAGCTCTGCATGACTCAGACTACTCTCATGGCTGCCTTGCCTCTGCTATCCATTAAGGTAGCCACACCCACACTGCCTTTGACAGTTGCCTTTGATAGTCACTACTTGGCCCCTGCCACCTCGGGATCCAATTATTCCCATTGTATTTAAATTTTGTAGTTGAGTGACTACAGTTCCATTGTTACATCTGACATACAGAAAAGAGCTATTACAGGGCTCTTCAAAGATGCAGGTGCTACACTCACAAATCTGTTTTGCAAAGCTTTAGTCAAGGGTATATCTTCTGGACCTTCCCAGCTGAAATGACTAATCTAAAGTGACTAATCCACTCCACTATCCCAATATCCCTAAGCCATTGGATGCCTTCCTCTACGTTAAACCAAGGGAGATCAGGCATTCCCAGCTTGCTCACACTGGGTCATCTTTTAATCCATATTTCAGCTAACCAAGCAAATAAACTATTAGAATCTTTTTTAACTCCCCAAGCTGCAACATTAAATGCAGAGTCCCTACTTAGTGGACCTAAATCAATAAACTCAGCGTGATCCAACTTGATATTCCTTCCACCATTATCCCACACCCTTAATATCCATTCCCATGCCTGTTCTCCAGATTTCTGTTTATATAAATTAGAAAACTCAAGGAGTTCTTTTTGAGTGTAGCACATCTTCTCATGGGTCACACTCTCAACCTCACCTCTAGGGGCCCACCGGGACTTTATTTATAGGTCTAGGAGCCAACAGGGGTTTGGGGGGTGGCTCCTGAGGAGAATCAACATTATCTTTCCTGGCAACTGCCTCACGGGACACCATCACTGTTGCCTCAGGCAGCACAGGGTTTATCTTCTCAGACAAAAGTGGAAAGGCTGATGGCAGCATGGATTGGGGAGGGGATATTGCCACTACTAGGGATGCAGAAGCTGTTTCTTCTGATCAAAAGATTCATCAGAGTTTACAAGCTCAGTGTCCCCAGCTTCATCAGGGTCCTCCCTCATGTCCACATTCAAAGTAGCAGGGTCCCATTTTTTTTTCAATCAATGCCCTCACTTTAACAGTAGACACCTGGTGAGGCTGTGCATGCACCTTTCATTGCAGGTCAGCCACTCACATGATAAGAGCTTGTGTCTGATTTTCCACCATTTCAGCTCTTTCTCTACAGGAGATAAGACTCTCACTCATGGCAATCTTAGCAGATTTGAAGCTCAATATCTGCTTCTGAAACTGGAGTTATAATTCCTGAGTTCATCATTTTTCTTCATCACTTTCCCCAGTGAGCTTAGGAGCAACCAACCAACTTCATTATGTTCATTTGTTCTCCACCTGTAGTCAAAGGTATTATGTATAGGGTTACTAAACTCCTTGCCTCTCATAAGCAGTGAGTTGGGAGTGTCAAATGCATTTATTTTGCATAACTCTAAACAGTTCACACCAAGGAAAATCAGTGTTCTCCATACTATTAGAAGTAGAGTCATTAGCATTTTGGGGTCTAATCATATTAAGCAGCCAACTCCAGAAACCCCAAAACCAACAAAAGAACTTCATCCTTAATATTCTGTTCCTCTAGAAACACGCCTTTTACCAAAATCTGTATTTGTCAGGGTTGTCTAGAGGGACAGAACTAATAGGATATATAAATATCCTGGAGTTTATTAAGTGGTATTAACTTACACAATCACAAATCCCACAATAGGCTGTCTGCAAGCTGAAGAGCAAGGAAGCCAGTCCGAGTCCCAAAGCTGAAGAACCTGGAGTCCAGTGTTTGAGGGCAGGAAGCATCCAGCACAGGAGAAAGATGTAAGCTGGAAGGCTAAGCCAGTCTAGCCTTTTCACGTTTTTTTTCTGCCTGCTTTGTATTTTGGCTGTGCTGGCAGCTGATTGGATGGTGTCCACCCAGATTAAGTGCCTTTCCCAGCCCACTGACTCAAATGTTAATCTCCTTTGTCAGCACCCTTACAGACACACTCATGATCAATACTTTGCATTCTTCAATCCAGTCAATTGACACTCAGTATTAACCATCACGTGCCTTGAAGAAACAAAATGTAACACTGTAGTAAGTTATTAATAATGAGTTGTTGACATTTGAAAACAGAAGAGAGTGTTTACTTTGTGGACACTGAATGTACAGATAAGAATTAGCAGCAGCCTGAATGAACAATGGTGTCTAAATGGAGAATAAGGGCAAAACAAAATCAAATCAAACAAAGCAAAAGAAGAAAACAAACATGCAACAGTAACAGAAACAAAACTTGTTTTCCTGACCATAATTAGCCTCTAAGAGTAATAATGCTAATAGAAGATGACTATCCAATTTTTATATTTTTAGGACATTACAGATGCATGGTTGATCAACTCCTTCAAATAAAAAAGTATAGAGAATCATTTAAACAGTAAACCGAATATATCTCTACTGCCTTCAAAAACTCAACTAAATTTGTCAGAACAGCACAAAAATGAGACGAAACTGTGACGCACTTAGAGAAAGTAAAAAGCATATGACGAACGTTAATCAATCCAACACAGAAATATCAAGAAGCGAACTGATTGGCAGAACACCATTATCAGAAATTGGGGTAATATCTTGAATGTAAAAGAAAAACTAAGTTGTTTTGTTTGTTTGTTTTTCCCAAAGAGTTAGGTGAAATTTTGTTTAAGAAGCAGTTATTTCTCCAGATCTCATTCTCAATCCTCATAACTGAGTAACTGATTCTGTCCTAACCAGGCAGATGATTAGAGATTAATTTTTCAAAAAGAGTGAATCAGAAGGACTCTGAAAAGATAGAATCAAACAAAGTCCAGAAAACTTTCTTTATTTTTTTTATTATACTTTAAGTTTGAGGGTACATGTGCACAATGTGCAGGTTAGTTACATATGTATACATGTGCCATGTTGGTGTGCTGCACCCATTAACTCGTCATTTAACATTAGGTATATCTCCAAATGCTATCCCTCCCCCCTCCCCCCACCCCACAACAGTCCCCAGAGTGTGATGTTCCCCTTCCTGTGTCCATGTTTTCTCATTGTTCAATTCCCACCTCTGAGTGAGAACATGCCGTGTTTGGTTTTTTGTCCTTGCGATAGTTTGCTGAGAATGATGGTTTCCAACTTCATCCATGTCCCTACAAAGGACATGAACTCACCATTTTTTATGTCTGCATAGTATTCCATGGTGTATATGTGCCACATTTTCTTAATCCAGTCTATCGTTGTTGGACATTTGGGTTGGTTCCAAGTCTTTGCTATTTTCTGACAAGGCGAACTGAGTGAAATTCTGGGATTGAAAGTGGAACTCTTTCAGTCCTCTTTGCTGACTCAACTGCTAGAATTCTGAAAAGTGTAACATAATCTTATAACCTTCAATTCATGAAGTCTAGACTCCAAATAATAGGAAACAAAAAAAGATAAGAAAATAATTTAAATTTTTTTTTAAAAAATCTTCAAACTGAAGAATATGAAAAGTAGAAAGGGCATTATTAGGAACATACACAATGAATGAAAACGGTCTTGAACTAGGATACACCATCATGAAATTGATGATTTGGGACGCAGACAAATTTCCGAAAAGTTTGCAGAGAAAGGATTAAAAAAAAATTGATACATGCAATACATATAAAGCATTTAAATAGTGCTTGGAAGATGGTAAATACTAAACATATATATGCGTGTTTTTTTAGTTTTTTTAGTTTTTTTTTTTTTAAGACAGAGTCTCACTCTGTCGCCCAGGCTGAAGCGCAGTGGCACGATTTGGGCTCACTGCAAGCTCCGCCTCCCGAGTTCAGGCCATTCTCCCACCTCAGCCTCCAGAGTAGCTAGGACTACAGGTGCCCGCCACCACGCCCAGCTAATTTTATTTTTATGGTTTTAGTAGAGACAATGTGTGTGTTTTTAAAATAGTAGCAATAATATTAGTAATAGTAGTTATTGTAATGTAAAGTATTTACAATGAAATATTTCTCAATGGAGAGCTGAGAAGTTACTTGTTTAGAATATCTGATATTATTTGGAATTGCTTAATACATAAAGGATTACTTGTGTTAAAATATATTTGCAATAATGTTTACTTTATCCATTAAGATTTTGAAATTAAAATGCACACAGTGTCATGTAGAGCAGTGTAAGATTGTATTTGTAAATTTATCTTTAAATTGCAGATATGGCTTTGCTAGCTCTTTGTAGAGATGAAATTGTTTCCTGCTAAAATCACCTGAGGATGAAATTAAACATATTTTAACTGGGCTGTACCCGTGGGAGGTCTCTGAAGAGTCTGTTTGTATAAGAAATGTATGAATTACTTTTCTTACCTCCTGAGGTGCTCCGTGATGATGACCTCTATTGAAAAAATATTAAGTGCTTTATTCCTTAGAAGAGAGAAAGTTAACAAAAAATACAATGAATAAAATAAAACAAACTTAACCTTCAGAAAGGATTCAAATGAGAAGAGTTTTAGAATTTTTTTTCAGTTATGTAAGCCATTAACTATTAGTAAGAAAGCATGCTTTTAATAGAAGGAGTTGTCTTTGTGTGCATGTGCATATGTTAATTGCTTACAAAAAGAAAACCTCTAATTGTATCACAGCTGTTGACATCTGACATTCTTATTTTTAACATACATAAATATTAAATTTTGCTACTTGAGTGCTACTTAAGAAAAAAATTACTTCCATGAATGGAATGACAATTTTGCAAAACTTTAAAAAAAAGACATTCATAAAATACCAAAAAAATTAAGGTAGCACTGAATATATTCATTTTGGTTTATAAGTTTACGCTATATTTTCCAAATCACAAACATTAGTACTTTTCTTATATGACTTGAAATCTTAATTTCTGCTAATCTATACAATGTTATATTACAATATTTCTATATTTACCAAATTGTTTCATTGAGAAAAATACATTATAATAGAGTTGGAAATTTTCTGAATTTCGTAGAGTCATGTCTCTACTTATGTAAAATTTAAATGATCTTATTACATTAATTTCTACTTTATAAAATGATAGCTATGATTTCTAATATTATATATTAATATGCAGTACAAACTGAGCAAGAAATATGGATTTCATGTAAATATGTTCCTTGCTTTTTATGATTCTTATGTTTTAAATATAGGATAACTATCTTACTTATTAAAAAGAATGCAATGAAATTAGTAATAATTTATATTTTAGAAAGTTCATATGGTACTTGCTATGGATTGGCCACCCAAATCTCATCTTGAATTGTAGCTCCCAAAATCCCCGTGTTTCATGGGAGTGACTCAGTGAGAAGTAATTGAATCATGGGGGCAGGTTTTTACTATTCTGTTCTTATGATAGTGAATATGTGTTATGAGATCTGATGGTTTTATAAAGGGCAGTTTACCTGCAAATGCTCTCTTGCCTGCTGCCATGTAAGGCATGTTTTTGCTCCTCCTTCACCTTCCACCATGATTGTGAGGTATCCCCAGTGATGTGAAACTGTGAGCCCATTAAACTTCTTTTTTCTTATAAATTACTCAGTCTCAGGTATATCTTTATTAGCAGTGTGAGGACAGACTAATACAGTATTTTTTCCTTAAAAAGGACACTTTATCGAGGTGAATGTCTTAGAGATCTGCTGTACAGCCTAGTGCCTCTAGTTAGGAATACTATAACATATATTTAACATTTTAATGAAATAATACTTCTTATGTAGTATTCTCATGACAAAACATAATAATAATGAATAAAGAGAAAGAAAACTTTTGGAAGTGAAGGAGACGTTTACAGCATGGATTGTGATAACTTCTCAGGTATAGACTTGTCTCCAAACTCAAGTTGTATACATTAAATATGTACAGCATTTTGTATAACAATCACGTCTCAATAAAGTCATTTGCACAATAACTTAATAATTCTAATTATTTCCATTTTTCCTCAAATTCAGAATAAGGCTGCTGTTTTATTGAGCTCAATATGTCATCCTTTAAAAACTATTATATCAACAACATAACAAGTAAGTATTTGTAAGTCTTACATATCAATGCCTTCCTACAAATGGGATTTTAAGAAGTACTGTACAAAATTGTTGTACCATAAAACTTCTGTGAATGAGACTGAACTAGAAAAAAACTATTTTAAAATTCACATGCAACAATAAAAGCCCAAATAGCCAAGGCAATCCTAAGCAAAAGAACGAAGCTAGAGGCATCACGCTACCCAACTTCAAACTATGCTACAGGGCTATGACAGTAACCAAAACACCATGGTACTTGCACAAGGACAGACACATTAAACCAATGGAACAGAATAGGGAACTCAGAAATAAGACTGCATATATACAACTATCTGATCTTCGACAAATCTGACAAAAACAAGGAGTGGGAAAAGTTTTTCCTATTCAATAAATGGTTCCCTATTCAATAAATGGTGCTGGGATGACTGGCTAGCCATATGCAAAAAATTGAAACTGGACCTCTTCCTTACACCATCTACAAAAATTAACGCAAAGTGGGTTAAAAACTTAAATGTAAAACCAAAAGCTATAAAAACCCTGGAAGACCACCTAGGCAATACCATTCAGGACATAGGCATGAGCAAAGGTTTCATGATGAAAACACCAAAAGTAATTGCAACAAAAGCAAAAATTGACAAATGGGATTTAATCAAACTAAAGAACTTCTGCACAGCAAAAGAAACTATCAACAGAGTAAACAGACAACCTACAGAATGGAAGAAAATTTTTGCAAACTATGCATCTGACAAAGGTCTAATATCTAGCATCTCTAAGGAATTTAAACAAATATACAAGAAAAAATCAACCGCATTAAAAAAGTGGGCAAAGGACATAAACAGACACTTCTCAAAAGAAGACATACATACAACCAGCAATCATGAAAAAAAGCTAAACATATCTGATCATTAGAGAAAGACAAATGAAAACCACAATGAAATACCATCCCACACCAGCCAGATGAATAGTATTAAAAAGCCAAAAAGTTACAGATGCTGTCATGGTTGTGGAGAAAAATGAACACTTTTCACTGCTGGTGGGAGTGTAAATCAGTTCAACTATTATGGAAGACAATGTGGCAATTTCTCAAAGATGTAAAAGCAGAAATACCATTTGACCCAGAAGTCCCATTACTAGGGATACAGCCAAAGAAACGTAAATTGTTCTGTTATAAAGACACATGCATGTGTATGTTCATTGCAGCACTATTCACAACAGCAAAGACATGGAATCAACCCAAATGCTCATCAGTGATACTCTGGATAAAGAAAATGTGGTACATAAACACCACGGAATACTATGCGTCGTAAAAAAGAATGGGAATATGTCCTTTTCAGGGACATGGATGGAGCTGGAGGCATAATCCTTAGCAAAGTAACACAGGAACAGAAAACCAAATACCACATGTTCTTACTTATACCTGGGAGCTAAATGATAAGAAAACATAGACACATAGAGGGTAATAACAGACACTGGGAACTTTCATATGGTAGAGGGTGGCAGAAGGGAGATAATTGGGAAAAATAACTAATGGACACTAGGCTTAATACCTGGGCGATGAAATAATTTGTACATCAAACCCCTTTGACACGTTTGCCTATGTAACAAACCTGCACATATACCCCTGAACTTAAAAGTTAAAAAAAATGTGAATGAAATATGGCATATGGAATCCTAAAATGTAAATTATAGTTAGAAAAGTGTAAAATACACATATTTGCACAAGCTCCATTTATATAGAAATTATCTGAAGGCAAACACAAACTGAGGTGTCAGTGAAGTATTTGTGATGATGTACAAAATAAAATAAAAAACATAAAGAATTGTAAAGTTCTAGTAGAAAGAAATAAGATCAAATTTAGTAGCCTATACAATGCAGGAATGGGCAGGAATGAGTTTTCCATAACACGTAGGACACTTTATCTTGCAGCCCCTAGAAACTTTCAGGAGTGGCGGTGACACATGTAAAGAATAATTAGGGTCAGACATGGTGGCTCACTCCTGTAACCCCAGTACTTTGAGGGGCTTAAGAGGGCAGATCACTTGAAGCCAGGAGTTTGAGACCAGCCTGGTGAACATGGTGAAACCCCATCTCCACTAAAAATACAAAAAATTTAGTTGGGTATGGTGGTGCATTCCTGCAATCCCAGTTACTCAGGTGGCTGAGGCAGGAGAATCACTTGAACTGCAGAGGCAGAAGTTGCAGTGAGCCAAGATTGTGCCACGGCACTCCAGCCCAGGTGACAGAGTGAGATTCCACCTCAAAAAAAAAAAAAAAAAAAAAGATAAAAATTAAATCATGAGATTATTTTACATGGAGATATTCAAGATAAGGTAATCAAACTAGAAAATACTTGCATTAAGAGGTATTAGTCTGTTTTCATGCTGCTAATAAAGGCATACCCAAGACCGGGTAATTTATAAAGCAAAGAGGTTTAATTGACTCAGTTCCATATGGCGAGGGAAGCCTCACAATCATGACAGAAGATGAAAAGAGAGCGAAGGGACTTGTTACATGGTAGTGGGCAAGAGAGAGAGCCTAGCAAAAGGGGAAACCCCTTGTAAAACATCAAATCTCATGAGACTTATTCACGACCATGAGAACAGTATGGGGGGAAATCGCTTCCATTATTCAATTGTCTCCTACTGGGTCCCTCCCACAAGATGTGGGAATTATTGGAGGTACAATTCAAGACGAGATTTGGGTAGGGACACAGGCAAACCATATCAGAGGTAAATAGGTAAAAAAGCAAAGTAAAACAAAACAACAATAATAAAACTGTAGCTTTGGAGATACAGAATCAGCAGTCAGACAATTAAGAGAATGGCAGAAGCTGAATCTTTGTCAACCATATTATCCAAATTGCATTAATCAAGTGTTAGAAACATGGACATAGATTTGGTAAGACCATGTGATATATTACCTAAAACTGACAGACTAACAAAGAGCAGCCTTGTTAGAACAGCTAAGGAGGTATCAGTGCACTGTATATAAAGTCTTTTTAATGATCAATAATATTTTATATTGTCACATCTGAGATTATGCATTAGATTGGAAATACTTAATAGAAAGGCAATCTTTATGCAGATATTAATGATAAATAAATAAGGTTTTAAAATCTGGGATATCATACAGAGCAGGTGATTGGGAAACTTAGTTGAGAATTACACACACACACACACATATATACACACAAACACACACAAACACAAGTACACATGGTGGTAAATGTAATCTGGCTGTTAAGAATGTTCACTGATAATCAGCTAATAGCCAGAAGAACTTTGCATTGTGCAGTGTCCTGCTAAAGGCAAATAACACACATTTAGATATATTTTTATCACTACAAACACCACATAATGTCCATGATGGCAGAAATGTTTGTCTTTGTGTGTGTGTGTGTGTGTGTGTGTGTGTGTGTGTGTGTGAGAGAGAGAGAGAGAGAGAGAGAGAGAGACAGGATCTAACTCTGTTACCCAGACTGGAGTACAGTGGCATGATTATAGCTTATTGCAGCCTTGGCTTGCAGAGCTCAAGTGATCCTCCTTTCTCAGCCTCCTGAGTAGCTGTGATTACAGGTGTGAATCACCGGGCGTGATGGCTCATGCCTGTAATACCAGCAGTTTGAGAGGCCAAGGAGGGCAGATCACGAGGTCAAGAGATTGAGACCAGCCTGGCCAACATGGAGAAACCCCATCTCTAGTAAAAATACAAAAATTACCTGTGCGTGGTGGCGCGCCTGTAGTCACAGCTACTCAGGAGGCTGACGGAGGCGAATCACTTGAACCTGGGAGGTGGAGGTTGCAGTGAGCTGAGATCGCACCACTGCACTCCAGCCTGGCAACTGAGAAATATTCTGTCTCAAAAAACAAACAAACAAACAAAACAATGTAGAGAAAGGGTCTTGATATTTTGCCCAAGCTGGTCTCAAACTCCTGACCTCAAGCATTTGTCCCACCTTGGACTCCCAAGTTCTGGGACTATATGCATAAGCCACCATGCCTGGCCAGAAACGTTTGTCTTTTTACACTGCTGTACCCCTAGGACCAAGAACAGTACCAGAAATGAGGTATGTACTCAAAGTACTATTTCTTGTAATAAATGGCAGAGGCTATAAACATTAGCCATATTAACAAGAGATAGTTTAGACTAACACAGGCATCTGATAATATAAGAATAGAACAAAGTATCTGAAAAGATTTGGGAAGTGAAATAGAAAACATAGAACGAAGGCTATGATTGTGAGGGGTATAGACAAGAGGTCATAGTACAAGCAGCACAGTTGATTTGTTCATTAATTACACAGATTACTAGGCCATGGACACTTCTAACAATACAACGAAACTGTAAAAGGTTGAATTTGACCCAGACACTCGGGAGTTATACAGGCGTTTTAGCAGCAAAGCAATACATGATTTTCAAGAGATCACATGTTTTTCTAACAGCTTTCGTCAACTTTGAAGAGGGTCACAGGACACCTTTTGTTGGTTAATACAAGGGACTTAGATGCTTCCTGATAATATAGTGGTGTTCTTGGGACCTGAGACTCAGAACCCTGGCTGGACTTGTAGTGGTAAGAACAAAGTTAAATATTAATGAATAGTAGAGAGCTTGAGTTTTCTGAAATAAATGGAAATTGTATTCCAATTAGGTAAAATTATGTGAGAAAACTGAACAGTTTAGGAAACATAAAGTGTATTCAAGATTCAGGATTAAAAGTACCATATTAAAGAAGAAAAATAAGTTATGCTCAATGAATTTAATTCATTCAGTGATCTCCCAAGTCCCCAGATTCAGCAAAATTCTATTGAAAACAAATTTGAAGCAGTCTCAAGAAAACGGAAGCCTGGAAAATCCCGCCCCTGGTTTTGCCAGTTGTGTAGAACTCTGTTTTCCAAAGCTACTTACTTGAAATAAGACTTCTGATTTAAAGAAAGTTTAAGAGGGCTTTTCTATGATAAAAAATAATTTTCTACTAAGTTGAGAAACATGCTATAAATTATGATAATAATTGTTTTTATGGAGTTTGATACATATGTTCTGACCATAATTTAAATTAAATTAGGCTGCTGTGGATAAAAATATTAAAAATGCCCTAGGAGATGTGTAAATGGGTCTATAATATTCAAAGAGACAAAGACTGATTAAGATAGCACGGTTGAGTAAATTTAACTTTCTAAGCTCAACGAAAATTTCCCAACATAAAATGTTTTATTAATTCTATAAGAAATTATAAAATCAAGATAAAACCATTAAAGTACAAAGTCTAATGCTGAAAATCTATTTTAAAAGCTACAATAGTTTCCTTAGGTTTTAGTTATAATAAATAAAATTCATGGCAATTTAAACTTTAGAGACTTGCAGAGATTCAGAGAAGTGTAGATTGAAGTAAGTACCACCCACACACCTTCCTATGGATTTGTGTCTATAGGGGAAAAAATGGGAATAGTTATTTGTATCAAGTGTTAACATTTTTAAAGGTCAGAGAGTGAAGATTTTTGATTATTTGGCCATGTGGTCTCTGTTACAACTACTTGATACTGCTGTTGCAGTACGAGAGCATCCACAGACAGTACATCATTTTAGGTGTGGTTGTGTGTCAATAAAATGTATTTACAATAATGCAGATTAAGCCAGATCTCACATATGGGCTATAGATTGTCCATTCTCAATGTATAGGAATGGTTCCAAATTGGTTGATTATGCATTAAATGTTTCACAGTATTTTGTGAAGGAAAACACAATGAGTAATGAGGTTGTATGGGAAGATTTGAATTAGAAGATGTGATTAAGAAAGGCTTTAGAATTAATAAGAAATGGCTAGGGAAGAAACAGGAGCAAAGACTATGTCATGCGAAAAATTAGAGCAAAATGTGGTAATAAAAATTAAGCTATATTACCACATAATTTCGTCCAGTTGCCAAAGGAAATTTTTGATGAAGAACAAGAGAAAAAAGGGTTGGTCATGAATATTTCATCCTATTTAAAAAATAAAATGTGTAATCTGTGTGATAATAAATTGCCAGAACTTTAACAGTAACACTGCTGTTTTTCTAAGAGTTTTTTCTCCTATCTCAATGACATTTTTTACCTAAACGGCAACACCTTGACAGTCAACATTTGCGGTATCTAAATATGAAGACCCACTACCTCAGCCATGGGGTAAGATTTAGTGGTTACTCAGAAACTATCACAGTATCAATGATTTCTTTTCTTTTCAGGCCTTAATCTGGAATTCACTTTTTGTAGAAGAAGAAGATAAAAGCCTCCACAGCAGAACAGGTTTAGTTCAGCTCCGGAATAGAGCGGTAGTTGACCAGAATACAGAGCCTTCAGTGTAGATCAGCACAGAGCAGAGCTACAGCGTCACAGTCACAGAGGGGAGAGGTCACATCTACGGTAATCAATAAATGGCAACAGTGTAATTTTGGAAGAAGCAACCTGCTGTAACACAATCTAGAAAACATTCATGCTTATAACAAAGTCCATGTAACTGCAACAGAGAGGAGAAAATGGGGTTTCAGAAAGCAGTAAGTTCTCCGAAACAAGACACTGGCAGGAGGAAGTCTATTAATCTCTGTTAGGATTCTCATAGAGTACACAGAGAGGATCAGCAGAATAAATGAATGAAGAAAGACAACCACAACTGGGGACAGAACAACAAGACACAGTTTCCTTAATTACACAAGGCTTAAGACTTTCACATGGTTCTGACCAAGATGGCTGTAAGGTTCCCCTCAGCTTGACTCAACTTTAGACTATTTTCTTCTTGACTTGAAGGGACCTGATGTCTCTTTTATTAGATTACTTTGCCTTTTGGATTAAAATACACCAGTTATATTTATATTTATGAGTTCATAATGTTATTATACCAAAAACAAATCATGGTAATTAATGTTATTCAAACATCATCATTGAAGAAAGCTTTGTAGATAAACTCATCATATTAAAACCTCTAAGTAAAGAGATGTGTGTAAACATTTTTCTTGCCTTTTCTATACACACTGAACTTGGTGATAACCAAACAGTTTGTGAAGGAAAGTTAATTTTCATAAAACTATTATAGCTACTATCTGAAAATAGAAGAACAGAGTTGGCGTATCACATTTGGGCCATCCCCAGTAATATAATGAATTAAAGCTACAATCATCAATAACTGCTAACATTTCAAAAAGAAAAACAGAAATCAGGAAGTATACAACACAGCCTAAGAAATGTTTATGCCAAACAATTAAACCTGAATCCAATTAAACATTTAAATGTTATTGATAGGAAATACAGGGGGACAGATGTTAGCAGACAACTCAGGAATGCAATGAGCAAGTCTTATAGCATGGAAAAGTTTAAATGGCAAATAAATCATTTTTTTCCCAATAAAACAACTGAAAGAACAAACATATAAAGGAGACAACTAGTATATTAAAATAGTTTTAAGAAATATGTCAGTGTAATTGCAGCATATGGATTTTGTTTGGATCTTGATTTGAATAAATAAGCATATAAAATGAATTTATAAAAAAGTATATTAAGAAATTATTTTTAAAGTATGGAATTAGTATGGTTGGTTTTTTAGAGATATGAATGTGGAATTTGACTGGGAATTATATATTAGATAGTTTCAATATTATTGAGTGTGATAATTGTAGTATGGGTAGTAAGAGAATGTCTCTATTTTAAGGAGATATTTGCTAAAATACTAATGGAGAAGTATCAGGATATGTACAAATTACTTTCAGGTGGCTTAGAAAGAAAACTTTTAAAATGGCAGTGCTAATTTGGAAAATGGGTAACATGAATGCCCATCAAAACCTTAGTCTCTAACTAGGCCTTTCAATAGAAAATATAGGGATTCCAGTTGAGTGAGAGGAAGTACAACCACTTCTCTCTACCTCTTCCAAGTAATGCCGCTAAAAGTACCTGGAAGAATGCATGGAGGTACTGCTGGAGGACTTAGAAGTAAATAGTAATAGGGAGATTAAAGAAAAAAACTAGTTTCAAAGTAACATGAAACTCAATGTGAGTTCGCCTATATTTTTCCTCCAGTGTATCCTAGCCAGTCCTATGACAGAATGAAATGCAGAATTGGACATTTGCACAGACAGAGAGAGCTTCAGAAGCAGCAGGAAAGCCAAACACAGAAATAAAAAATATTGCTTAGATCTACTTACATGTTGAATCCAAAAAAAGTCAAATACATGGAAGCAGAGAGTAGAAAAGTGGTTGCCAAGGGTAGGAATGTGAGAGGAAGTGGAGAGATGGTCAACGGGTAAAACACTGTGGTTATATAGAGTAAACAGGCCTAGAGACTGAATGCATAGCATGATGAATACAGTTAATAATACTGTAACATATACTGGAAATTTGCAAAGAGAGTAGACTTCAAATGCTGTCACCAAAAAAATTACTAACAATAATTATGTGAGGAGGTAGATATGTTCATTTGCTTCAGTTTAGTAATGATTTCATGGTGTGTGTGTGCGTGTGTGTGTGTGTATATATATGTACATATTAAAACATTATGTTGTGCACCTTAAATATATACAAATTTTATTAAATATATAAATATAAAAAAGTAAAAAACAAAAATTATGAGGCAGAAAACCAATAGGGCATTGTATAATGCATAAATTAGTCTAGCATCATTTAAGCCACTGATCAATTTTAAATTATGAAATGTGGAGCGATTAGATTGTATGTAACTTATGATGCAATATGAGAAGTACCTCAGTGCTACCTCTAAATATTTTTCCTTGCACATAAAGTCTGAATGTACCCCAAACTCTAGATCTAACTACTAATTTAAACTGTTAGCATAGACACTTAAACAAAACTACAATAAATCAATTGGCCATATTCATAGTGTGGGACATTTTTATAAGGAAAATAACCTAATTTATCAAAAAAAAATCAATGGCTTCAAAAAGGAGGGCTGGGGTTAAGGCTTAAGCTTAAGACCTGAAATTGACAAACTGCTAAAAGAAAACATAGGGGAACAGCCATGACATTTATGTGGGCAATGATTTTTTTGGATATAATCCCCAAAGCACAAGCAACAAAAGCAAGAGTGGGCAACTGGGATTACAACAAACAAATAAAGCTTTTGCAAAGTGAAAGAAAAAATAAATTAAAGAGACAATCTATAAAATAAAGAGAAACTATTTTCAAACCATACATCTGATATGGGGTTATTAATGAAAAAGGAAATATAAAAAAACCAAGAATACCAATAAACTTACTTTTTATAATGGGCAAAGGATTAGAATTGAAATTTCCCAAAGAAGACTTACAAATAACGTACGTGTGTGTGTTTTTTACCTAACACCTGTTAGAACAGCTATTATCAAAAAGATGAAAGATAACAAGTATTGGTGAGAATGTAGAGAAAAGGGAACTCTGGCACACAATTTGTGTGAATGTAAATCAGTACAGCCATTATGGAAAACAGTATGAAGAGCCTCCAAAAATTAAAAATAGAACTACCATACAAGCCAGCTATCCCACTACTGGGTATATATCTGAAGGGAATGAAATCAGTATGTCCAAGATATCTCTGTATTCCCATGTTGATTGTAGCATTATTCACAATAACTGGGCTGTGGAAACCAATTATATTAATTAAGAAAGATAGAACGAGAGGAAGGAATGTAATGAGGGATAAAGGAAAAAAGGAAGGAAGGAAGGAAGAAAAAAAGTAAGAGAGAAAAAGAGACCGAGAAAGAGAATCGGAAAAAAAATGCATTATTAAGAATACCATGTCTGTCCTTTCTACATTTTTTTCCCACTTCTTTTCTGCCAGGCTAGAAAAGGAATCACTGGAGAAAGGCAATAGAACCAAGTACTGATATGGGCCTGGTCCATGATGTTAGTGAGACTTGTGCTGCCACAAGGTAGGAGACTCACTAAAAGAGAGTGTGAGGGTGTGCTCTGTGGTATGAGCAGAACAGCTTAAGAATGCATCTCGGTTGCTGTGAGTCCCCAGTAAACTGTGAAAAGCAGCCAGACAGTTGTCTGTGTTGTAAAGAGTTAGATGAATACACACTGTGAGTTAACTAGGAGATTCCTCCATGCCTAGCCCAGTAGAAATGGTATGGACTAAATGGATCTGAAATCAGAAATTTTCTCTTCTATCACATAGTGTTTGGGCTTGAGAAGGGACTGTCACCCTGACTGGGACTGCATTTACCATATATATTCTGCAAAAGCGCTGACATGACTGTGCTAAAACTAAGTTAGTGAGGTTGTGTTTCTGCTACTAAACTGTCCAACAAATTCCAGAGATTAAAGTTATGTTATCCAGACAACTGTTTCCCAGAGAATAAACTGCTAACACTTAGTATATGAAATTTGACCTGATCGAGTTTTAGGGTGAAAAAGTGCAGGTAAATGCTTAAATATTTTTTTTTTTTGAGACGGAGTCTTGCTCTGTCTATCTACCACCTGTGGATCCCAAGAAGCTGATTGATTCTTTAGAGTGGATGGATTATGGCCGAGTAAATGATATCATGCGAAAGTTGATAGGAGACAGACCTGACACATACATAGACACAAAAGCGTTGGCAGAATATGTTGTACAACAAGAAGGAGCAAAGCTAAATGTGGAGATTGTAAGGCCGTCTATTGTTGGTGCCAGTTGGAAAGAACTTTCCAGGATGGATTGATAACTTTAATGGACCAAGTGGTCTCTTTATTGTGGCAGGGAAAGGAATTCTTTGAACAATGCGCGTCTCCAATAATGCCCTTGAAGATCTTGTTCCTGTAGATGTAGTTGTCAACAACAGTCTTGTGGCAGCCTGGTATTCCGGAGTTAATAGAACAAGAAACCTCATGTCATATAATTGTACAACAGATAGCACTAATCATTTCCACTGGGGTGAAGTTTAATACCATGTAATTTCTACTTTCAAGAGGAATCCTCTCGAACAGGCCTTCAGATGGCCCAATGTAAATCTAACCTCCAATCACCTTTTATATCATTACTGGATTGCTGTAAGCCATAAGGCCTCAGCATTCCTGGATGATATCTACCTCAGGATGACTGGAAGAAGCCCAAGGATGATGAAAACAATAATTCATCTTCACAAAGCTGTGATGTTACTTGAGTATTTCACAAGTAATTCTTGGGTTTGGAATACGGACAATGTCAATATGTTAATGAATCAACTAAACCTTGAAGATAAAAAGACTTTCAATATTGATGTACGGCAGTTACATTAGGCAGAATATATAGAGAACTACTGCATGGGAACTGAGAAGTACATATTGAATAAAGAAACGTCTGGCCTCCCTGCAGTCAGAAAACATCTGAACAAGTTGCATAATATATCTTATGATTTTAATACTATCCTTGTGATCCTCATCTGACACATTTTTATTGCAAGACCACAAATGGCAAGAAACATCTGATACTTTGTGGTTAGTCTGTGTTACAAGTTTCTGTCATAGTTTCAAGCATCCAGCACTATGAGATACTGAAGACCAAGAACTCAGCATTTGAACATCTATGCCTGTGGTGGACTAAATGCACAAAATATAAAATGTACTTAAGTCATTTCACCTTTTGTCATGACATTAAACCATCTTAGATTGGAGTGTGAAGTAAATTATGGTACATTTTATGTAACATTTTAATGTTTATGCTCATAAAACCTAGTGAACACACTGTGTTTTGCCAGCTCTAATCTACAATAGCTACCAAAACCATGACTTAATATTTTGAGCCCTGGAAGAAAGTGGTGGGATGAAGGCAAGAGTGGGGAAATGGGAACACTAACCAGTATAACTGCAATTCTGGAACATAATTAAAATATGTCTGAACATATAGTGAATTTCTAATTCTAATGTTCAGTGCAATGGAAGATATTTATTTGGACAGTAATACTAGCTAAGTTGGTAGATATTTGATTCTTCAGTGTCTGATTTTTTTCATTAGTTGAAGTGGGTTTTAATTTTGTTAAAATTATAACCAACCTATTTTCACATCATCCTGTAAGTTAAATGATATCCAACATGAAAGACATGTTCTCATTTTTCTTTTCTGATTAAATGTCTGATGCATATCATTTTTCTATAAGCAATCAGCTGCTTTTAAAATCAGAATGCTATGTTACTCTAGTGACTGTACTGGTTCTGAATGGGTTTGAGAATCCACATCAACAACATATGCTACGTGTTTTTTTGATGGAAAGTGAAAACAAATTCAGTAAAACTGTTACTATCAAAAAGAATAGAAATACAGTTTTCTTGCCCACATTATGATCAAATAAAAATCCTGTGAAATTGTGTTTATGTTTTGAAGCAGGAGGATTTCTTAAGACTTTGTTGGAAGTGGGAGCATTCACCATACTTGTGTTCTCCTCCCTGTATAAATTTTATTCATAGGACTTTAAAAAGGCTTGTGCTATCTTTCTGATGAAAACTACAAGTGTGTTATTATGGAAGAATGTATTTGCAGGTAGTAATAACATTAAGAAAATATTCTCATGTGTAAACACATACTAATTTTGACCTTGAAAGATGAATTCCTTCAAGAAAAAATAAAATAATGCATAAGATAATGTGTATGAAATTAAATAAAAGACTTTATTTACATACCACATAAAGTAGCAAACTGTTGAATTAGTTTGAAGATATTTATTTTTTATACATATAGTTTTAGGTTTAGAAAGAAATGCATTATAGAAACAAGTAATAACAAGAAAATTGATGTATATTTTGAGGATACATTAAAATTCCCTTTTAGTCATAATAGTTAGCTCTACCTACTGTTTTAACATACATTTGGTTTCACAGTTTGTTCATCATAACACTTCTAATTAAGTTGATCAAGTTGTACTGTATTAAATAATCAGCAATGTATCTGGAGTATGTTTAAAGAGAACAGTTCACAATACAAAAAGTTACATGGAACTTTACATCTTACATTTCTTGTCAATTTAAATGCAATATATAAGAAGTCTATTTTGCTATTGTGAAAAAACTAAATGTAGAGGAAATCACCTACTTTCATGCAGGTGTATAATCTTGAAAAGGAAAAATGCTTCCATGTTGAAGCCAGACTTTCTGTAGTAAAACTCTTAAATATTATTTTAAAAGAAATATGTATATAAATATCTCTATATTCTTTGGAATGATACTAAAGTCTCTGGCCTTGGACCTACCTGATATAAAGGTATAAGTTACCATGGCAATGTCTGAAAGTTGAATAAATAATGATGCCTTTGATTTAAAGTGGCCCACATAATATACATCGAGTACTCCATCTCTCCAAATGTATTTCCATAATGTGTTGAAACCATGCTAACATTTGCATGATTTTTGTATTTCTGCTGAATAGACTTAGAATCAGGTGAATTGTCTTTGTGTCTTGCAAAAGAGTTGGGGACAACTTGGGCAGACCTATGAAGTGCATAGTGTGTGTCTTCTGAAATGTTTTACTGTTCTTGTAATCTGACTTAAAGAAATGTTAACTGGGAGGGTGCTGAGGCCACTGCATTAATTCTGTGTGTTTAGAATTCTGTTGTCAAAAGTAAACTAATGAATAAATTAGTTTGTCTTTCTGGAATTTAAAGTTCTAAAATTAGTATAAAGAGTATATAGATCATTAATCCCCACCTACTAGACTTTGAACTTAAGTCAAACTTGAACATTTGAGAAATCATTTGTGTCATTTACTAGACATGATTTTTAGCTCTGTTTGACTACGTTTTCTACACAAACTCATTATTTAACAGGATAGACTACTAAATTAAATGTTTCTTATTTCATTTAACTCATTTGATTAAACTGCATTCTAGAACATTTGGAGTTTTTCCCCCTATTCATCCTTAATCCTGGCATATGCATTTGTAAATTGTGATGCCATTGGGACTATATTTAAATTTGATTTGGCAACATTAGCATGTCCTAAGACTCAGTGCAGAGAAGCATGGCAGTATGTCCTTTGACTTAAGGATGGCATAAAATAATCATTTTTGAACCTGTGTAATAAAGCTTGAAAGCAGGGAAAATAATTTCCTTTTCCCCCTTTTCTGTGCTGTCTGTAGGAATTGATTTGGAATTTTTTTTAATTATACTTTTTTATTTTGTTTTAAAAGTAAATTGATAATCTTTTATAAGAAGTAAATAGAAATATTATTGGGTGTCTTTGATTGTAAAGCAAAAAGTAATAAATGAATCCCTGTATTTCCATTATTTATTGTATTTTTATGTTCTGAAAATTGTCTATGAAACAATATGGATAGGATTACAGGAAGCAGTCCTTACTTAAACTTCTTGTCTGCTTTGGGTGTACTTGTTAATTCTTATGTCCTAATTTTATTTAATTCTGTGTTGCGCACACGGCATTTTAGGGGAAGCATACAGGCAGGATGAACACTTTCTGTTAAAGTGTTATTTTTATGTTTTACCTGGAATGAGGCAGGTTTTTTTCTGTTTCCTAAAAACAGTAACCAAGAGACCTCCAGGGTGTCATTAGGTTCCAGCTGCTGTCCTCCATATTGAATGATATCCTGTTAATTTATAGGTATATTTGTAGTAATTCATATGTCTATTAAGTAAGTATAAGAGATAATTCATTAGTAATAGAAATTAACTGAACCCTTTTGGAGCAGGTGAGAGTATCAGGCAGGGGTCAGGTAAGTGTAAACGGCCTTCTGAGCATGCTCTTCCAGGCTGACTGCCAGCCCTGACTTGAAACCGTTAGCACTGACTTGCTCTGTTTAGAGAAAATCTTTCCAAACTTTTGCATGATAAACTAGAAAAAGGAATATATGCCACGTAACTGGATTACAGAAGTGAGTTAATTAATAGTTTCTCTCATAAAAGATATATGAAATATTTTCTTATTGAATTAATATTTTTGGTCTTGAAGCATTTTCTTGTAGTAGAATGTATTTGTCTTTTTTCCTGGTGTTACCCTCTTAGCATGTATCTTTGCTACCCTGAAGATCCTTTTAAACAAATCATCTTTGTCAGTTAAGAATAGTTGTGCAAAAATTGTTAAATAATTCCTTTGATTTGTCTTTATTAAATAAAAAATATGAGGAAAATGTATTAATCAGGGAAGCATTTATTACAATAATTAATCTAATATAGTTGCTGTTATTTAAATATAGTATTTTAAAGGCCTTTATTTGCAAACTATGAAGACAGCAAAACATGAAAAAAGGGAGCACTAACATAACATTTTTCAATAAATTTATTACGTTTTTGCCCAAGATGTTTTTAAAAAAAACTGGTAAATAATGTAAAGTAATGATATAGAAGTTAAGAAGAAATTATTTAGGCAGATAGTGAGGGTAAGGAAGTTCTTGGTAAGGTTTTCCTTTTAATGAAAAGCGGCCCCCAAATCATTTTATTTTCTAACTAAGAGCAGCCAGTAAAATCGAGCTGCAGACACAGACAAGCAAGCTGGAGGTTTGCATGGGCGAGTGCCGGCAGTGGTGCCAATAGGAAAAGGCTACCTGGGACGAGGCATATTCAAAATGGTGGTTCCATCTTCCCTTTTCTTTGCCAGCCACGTGTACTGTAAGATGCTGACAACATGGTGCCAGCCAACTGCAAAGTCATTTTGCGTAATAAGATTATGCAAGATTATTATGTCACACCTGGTCCAACCAATCTGTGGGCCTTATGTAAATCAGAATCCACCTCCTCAAGCCTACTTATAAAATCTGGTGCACTCTGCAGTGGGCCAGATTTCCCTTTCGTGGGCCCCTCTGTCTTCTGAGGGAGAGCTGTTCTCCTTTCTCTTTCTTTTGCCTATTAAACCTACTCTCCTAAACTCACTCCTTGTGTGTGTCCATTTCTTTTATCTTCTTGGCGCGAGATGACAAACTCCAAATATTTACCCTCCATAAAGAGCATCCTCACATGCAAAAATATTTCCTAATTGTATCAAGATAAGGATATAATCATCACTTCAGTGCATGCCTCAGACTACGAAATATATTTTTAAATGCTACATTTATTTCTAATGCAGTCTTTCTCTAACATATTAAACGTATTCAATAACCTATATTTAATTTTAAGGAAATGTGTATTTCTTTAATGTGCAATTCTTATAAAAGGATAAATTAGATACAGAAGGAGCATCAATTTACATTTGTCCTTATATGTTTAATTCTTTGAAATAAAGTGTCAAATCGATTTTAGGTAGCACGAATGAATAAACTTCAAAATTGTGTTTCACATGATGGTTTGGTAAATGTAAAATGTATATTAAACAGGTGTTTTAGATTATGAAAGACTAGAACATCATGCCATCTACAGACAAGTAAATACTTGTAAATATTTCTAAACTGATGATAGCCTGCTACACGAAATAAGCATCAGTAGAAAGATAATTTTGTGCAACAATGGGCTTCATTGCAGATCTCCAGTTTGCATTTTCAGTTAAAAATATGTTTTGTTACAGTCCTAATTATAATTTCTCTGGAAGTTGTAATGAATTATGATTTAGTAGTCAGAATGTCTTTCAGTGTATGTATGGAGGGTAGTGGAAAGTATATAAACCCAGAAGTAGTATAATTAAAAAGATAATGCCTACAATGGTAATATATGAATATTTACAGGAATTTTCTTCACTAAATCTGATACGTGAAAAATATATGTAAAATTATTGTTTATTGGCTTTCTTATATTACAAAAAAATACCCAGTAAGTGTTAGTTATTATTTTTAGGGCAACATTTATTTTTAATTGCAAATATTTTCATTACAATCAATAGAAAAATGCACTGATAAAGATGAAGGATACACACAGAAAAAAATATATATATAATTCCTTAGAATAATTTTATTTTCTCTTATTGGAGTTGACTCAGTGACAAAAATATTTTATTCCTTTTAACTAGTAGGCATCATAAGAGTTATTTCAATATATTTTCCTTTTGTGTTGCCAGTAAACATATTTTTGTTGATTTTGTTGGTGAAGCACCAAGAAAATATGTGATACTTTTTCATAAAATATTTTAAATAAACAAGTTATTTCTATAAAGAACACATGCAAAAAGTAAGCTGATAATTTTTGGTTGAATACGAAGATGAGTAAAAATATACAATATTGTGTATATTCTGTCATTAATTTTCAATTGTTCTGTAAGTATGAAAATATTGTCTAAGTTGCCCTAATTGCTCAAGAACTATAGAACTTTTAATTACATATTTGTCATATGAAAATAAATGCACATGTGAAGAAAAGATCTGAAGAATGTACCAAAATGTATGAGATGCAGAGAAATACACTGTTGTTTCCATAGTAACAGCATGTTCAGCCAGTTGCAGCACCATGGTAACTACAAGAGGAAAAAATATGGAGCACATAAAAAATTTAAATTTGCAAAATTAAAAGATTCATTTTGGTAAATTTGGCACCTGACTATAAAAACCCACATTTTCCTAATTCTGCTTCGGACCAGGACTCTCCTAGGCTTTATTGAGTTTGGTTTTCTATTGTTCCACATTTTATGAAGACCATTGTCATTTTTGAAATATGCTTGGATGGTCTCTATAAAGTTGTTGTAATGATTAAATAAAATGAAACAATTTATGATAAAGTGTTCTGTAAATTGTAAAGAGCTACACAAACTCATCATTATAATTTTTTCAAATTTTGATAAAACCTTGGCCCTTCTTTTATTAGTTCCTAATTTACAATAAATCTTTGCATAAAAATAAGTTATTTAGTTTATTGAATATTGAACCAGAAGCTGATGTCTTTAAATTTTTTTATAAATATTTAACTTTAGATTTCCTTTTAACAGTAGAAAAACTAAAAGTTAATACATAGTTTACATGAAGAATGTAATGGAGGCAAGAAAAAAGTGAGGCTATATGAGACCAGTCTTCTTAGGATTAAAAAAAAATGTAAGTGAATCTCATGGTCCAATGCCGTATGGACAATTTCTTAGTTTTTTCCTGGCAGAGCTGATCTAACGAAGCAGGCTTGAGATTAGCTATTTCTTCACATGATGATTACATTTAAAGAGAGTAACATTTTAAACGTTGCTTTACGTCTTTAGTTTTAGAATTTTAAAAAAAGTTGAATCTTCAGTATTTAATTATAATTTCTCTACCACGATTTGAAAAGCATTGAAAATTTTATGAGTCTTAGAGACACAGTTAAATGCTATTTTTATCTATAGTCATTTTTTTCTGCATGTTGATGTCAAGACATCTAGGTCAACTTTCTCAACACAACAGAAAAAAATATATGAAAATAATTTATTTATTTTTTATACTTAATTATTTATAACATGGTAGTATAGAATAGTGGTTAAGCATCTAGTGTCAGACATGCCCTGCCTAGCTTCCAATCATAGCTCGGATATTTACCATTTCTAAGATGGGGTGAATTACTTGTGTTCTCTGCCTCATTTTACCCTCTGCAATTTTGAAATGATCATTTGTAATTGGAGTAATTATTACTGGTAATTTGAAGACTGAATGAGTAAAAGTGTGCAAAATAATTAGAACAATGTCTAGCATAATAAAATACCCAATAAGTGTTAATTATTATTTTAGCACAGCATTTATTTTTAATTGAAAACATTTTCATTGTAATCAATAGAAAAATTCACTGCTAAAGATGGAGAATATACACAGAAAAAACAAATATATTATTCTTTAGAATAATTTTATTTTTTATTGTATGAAACAAACTATTTACTTCTCAGACTTGTCTATGTCACACGAGTAATATCTATTCCAGCCAATTGTGCACTTTTAATGCTAAAGAAATTTTTGATCACAGATCTTCATTTGATTATCATAGTATTTTTCCATGGTTCATTGTTTATTTTTACCTTATTTTCCTGTATTTTAATGTCTAATATCTCCTCATTAGTAAAGTATATTGCAATTCTCAGAATACTGTTGTCCAAGGTAAAGACTATATGTTTTCTTTTTGATTCTTTGAGAGATTACTAATTTTTAAGTAGAAAGTTTGACATTTCCCAGATGCATTATCATGAAACTTTTCTACACTTCAGCTTATTGGCCTTGTGTGAATTATTAATTCAGGTAATATATAGCAGACACTGGTAACAGTTGAATAATAAAGTAAAAACAGAATGATTATAAATAGTAAATTATATTATATCTCATAAACCTGAGTTCTAATTTTGGCTTCTGTCAATGATTAGTCATATTAATAGGACCAATCATGTGAAAATCTTTATCAATATAACTGTGATTAAATAAACAGAAACTTTAGAATACGTGGAAAATAATGGTTTTAAAGTTGATAATATATAAATGATAAAACACATTAATAAATGAGTAGAATTAAAAAAAATTAATAGTAGATATGATTCTATAGAGCTTTGAATGCCTTTTGCTAAGCAGTTATATCAATTTCTTGAAGCTAAAAAAGTCAACAACCTATTATTAAAACCTCAAAGAGTGCATTATCATCTTGTAATGGCCAGAAATAAATTAATAATCCAGATTTTAAAAATATGTATTGAGACGTCATCCTCATTTTATGCATGGATGCCATGGTGATGCGAAAGATTTTATTTTGCAAGCAAACTAATCACTGAGGCCAGGGAGATGGAATTCGTTGGTTTCCAGGTCCGAGGAATCAGGCTCACTTACTGCTTTTGTTATAGTAGAAAGAAGTAGCTTAAGGCCCTTCTCCAACCCATTAAAAAATGGATTTTCTATGGGAAACTGAGGTTCTGCTATCACAAATAGAGAAAGTGATGTTAGTTGATTAAGAAAATATATATCCACTACCTATGGAAAATTTTAGATAAGCTATTAGATCAACTATTTGGTAACTAATTTTAAAAAACATTTTTTAAAATGTTACTTTTTATCTACCATACTTAGGTGACTGAGTTCATGGTGGCAGGTTAATTGCTCCTTCCATTTGCCTTGAAATTGCCCCAAACAGCTTAAAATTAAAGAAAAAAAGTGTGAATGACTTCTCTTCTAAATATTGCATCAGGTTTTAGCACCCAGGCACTTCCCCACCTCGCTGTCCTGTTGCTGTTGACAATAATTAAACAGTAATTATAACTACTATTACTTTTGCAGTTGCACTTAGAAAATTCTAGCTAATGTTCTGATTCATCTATGTATCAGTAGATCAATTGATTGATTGATTGGTTTCCTAACAACAGCCCAATGAGAAAGAAACTGTCATTATTCCCAGGTGAGTGAAAGGAGACACGAAGAAGGCAGGCAATATCAGCCTGAAATTGCACAGCCGGCAAGTGTTGGAGACAGGTTTCCACTCACACAGTGTGACTCACAGACACTGCAGTCTACAACACCAGTCTCCAAGCTATTCTGCCTACTTCACCTACAGAGGTTGGGAGTTGGGAGATGAGAACAGTAATTTGTTATAGAATTGGTTTGCCAAGATATTTGGGGAGAAGAATACAATGATATGTTCACAAAACATTTTTATCACTATGTGCTCTATTTGTCAACGCACTACAGAGAGGAGATCAATTCAGAAAAAGAATTCATCACTTTGCAATAAAGAAATAAAAGAATCCAACTTTTTTGAACTTTAAGTGTTGAAGGAGGCATCTTTCTTATTCCCAACTATTTGAAACCAAAACTGAGAAAAACTTTGATCAATAAAAGCAGATTGAAGCCCGTCCTTGTGTGGAGAATCAAATTAAAAGGATGATCAATATGCTTGCTATCCAAAAGCTTTAAGATGCTTCACAGTAAAAGTCCATCTAAGTGTGTGGAATGAAGTGTATTCTTTCAATTGGACAAAATTGCTCAGTGAAAAGAGGACAAAGTTATGGCTATATCACAATTATTGACAAATTTAAAGTACTGACAATTAATTTTAGAGAGGGCAAAATGACTAGATTAAATTGGCAGTTCTAGGAAGGGGGAGATCCAGCATTCAGACAGGCAGTCTGCTCAACATGCGTTCTAGTGAAGTTTCAAAAGTAAAACACATACCAACATTATGCATGCTATCATAGAAAGAATGAAGGTTGTATTACATCTAATTTCACATCAACAACATCATTTGGCAAAAGAGAATAAAATAATGGTTTCAGAATTGTAAGCAAAAGAAATTCTGGATCTAAAATTTGGTATTCCATCAAATGTCCACCAAGAGGATAAAAGAAATATTTTCGGATATACTAAGACTCAGAAGTTTTATTTCTTTCACAATGTTGCTTAATGAAAAAGTCAAAAGAGAATGCATTCTGGAAGAGAAAAGAAACAATCAAGAAGAAAATATGCCATCCAAAATGCATTCTACCTACTTCAGAGTATAAAGAATAAAAGTACTATGATAAAAGCTGTGCACCTCTCCTAGAAAATGACTGTTTACATTGGACAAAAGTTCACAAGTTTCTGAGAATAATTTTTCTGTAGATCAGTAAATTTTATGAAGCCCAGTTAGGAATCTGGATAGCAGTATGAATGAGAGATGAGCAAATTATTCTTCTGTCAACATGAAAAAATAAACACAATTAATAAATCTCATGGGTCTGAGAATCTATAAAAGACAATTCAGATAAAAAAGAAAGCATAGACATGACATAATTTTGAGTTATTCTTTTAATTTAGAAATTATTATGAATCTGACCATAAGGTTTTTAATATTTAACTGCTAACAGCAGACTTTTGGTGATAAATCATTTTGTATCTTTTTAAATAGTCCTAGTCCTCTAGATATATTTATACAATTAAGGCTTTGTAAGTGCTATTATCAGTTTTCAATTATGTAAACAAATCTTGAAACAAATCATAAGTTACTCTTATATTTACAGAACAGAATTTTCTTATGTAAACCTTAGCAATAGAAAAGGGAAGGGATAGCTTAACAAAGTTTGAAGGTAAATAAGAAATCAGTCAATTGAGGGTCTTAATTTGATCTTAACAGATCAGTAAATACAAGATATATTATTTAAAATTAGCAATTAAACAAAAGTGTATAGAAAATAAAGTCACTATAAATCTGTCAACCAAAAATTCTAAAGCATGAAGGAGATGTCAAATGATCTGTATAATATAGTGACTTGATCATATTTTATAAGAAAATAACTAAAAATAAAATAAATTAAAGGAGAATATAGTAGGCAAGTTTGACTTTGGGATAGTATATTAGTTTTCCAAGACTACCACCAAAAGTATCACAAATCAGCGTTTTCCATAATCTCCTTGTCAGGTTCAATAGTTCAATAATTTTCTATAACAGTTTATATAACTCAGGAAACACTTTACTCAAGTTTACAAGTTTATTATAAAGGATATTATAAAAGATATGAATGTACAGCCAGATGAAGAGGTACATGGAGCAAAGTCCAGAAGGGTCCTAATAGAGTCACTTTTGTGGACTTGGAGTACGCCACCTTCCTGGCATGTGGATGTGTTCACCAACCCAGAGGCTCTCCGAATCCGATAGATTAGGAATTTGTGTAGAGGTTTCATTTCATGTGAGCATGATGGATTTACTCAATCTCTAATCCCACTCCCCTCGCTAGAGGATGTGGGAGTAGAACTAAATATTTTTAGCTTCTAATTATGACTTGGTCTTTCTGGTGACCTGCCCCCATCCTGAAGCTTTATGGGAGCCCACCAAGAGTTGCCTCATAAAAATGAAAATGTTCCTGTCACCCAATAAATTTCAAGGAACTCAGGCCGGGCGCGGTGGCTCATGCCTGTAATCCCAGCACTTTGGGAGGCCGAGGCGGGTGGATCATGAGGTCAGGAGATCGAGACCATCCTGGCTAACAAGGTGAAACCCCGTCTCTACTAAAAATACAAAAAATTAGCCGGGCGCGGTGGCGGGCGCCTGTAGTCCCAGCTACTCGGGAGGCTGAGGCAGGAGAATGGCGTGAACCCGGGAAGCGGAGCTTGCAGTGAGCCGAGATTGCGCCACTGCACTCCAGCCTGGGCGACAGAGCAAGACTCCGTCTCAAAAAAAAAAAAAAAAAAATTTCAAGGAACTCAGAAGATCTGGGTAAGATGCTTCTATCAGTTCCATCACTCAGGAAATTACAAGAGTCTTAGGAATACTGTATAAGCAACCAGGTGCAGGGATCAAATATGCATATCTTATTGTGTCACTTACCTGTAATCTTTCTAGCAGATCTTTGTAGCCCAGCAATATCCTTGATGTTCTCTTCCCAAAATTCTTTGGTATTATTTTGCAATATAAATAGGCTGGTAATTTTCCAAGTCTTCAAGTTCTGGTTCATTTTTGCCTAACAATTATTCAATTTATCTCTCTCCTCACTCAGGTTGCTATAAGCAACAAGGAGAAACCAGTAAACACCATCAATACTTTGTTTAGAAATCTCCTTAGCTAATTATTCAAGTTTACCACTTAAAAGTTCTATTTTGCACAAAACCCTCAAACACAACTCAGCCAAGTTCTTTGCCATTTCATAACCGGAATCTCTGTTCCCCCAGTTCCCAATATCATGTCTTCATTTCTGTCTGAGGCCTCACCACAAGCATCTTTAATATTCATACATCGACTGATATTCCATTCATGATTATATATGCATTCTCTCTGAAAATAGAAGCTATCAGCTCTCCTTTTTTCTGTGTACTCACCAGAACTGCCTTTAATGTCCATATTTCTACAAAATTTATTCCAGGCAGTGTAGGTTTTTTTTTTCCTAACATGAACCTCAGTATTATTCCAGGCTCTGTTACCCAGTTCCAAAGCCACTTCCACATCTTTAGGTATTTGTTACAGGAGTACCTCAGACCTGGTATCAAAACATGTATTTATTTGGTAAGACTGCAGTAAGAAAGTACCACAATTCTGGAAGGTAACAGTCTGAGATCAAGATATTGGTTGGGTTACTTCCTATTGATGCCTCTCTTTTGGCTTGTAGAGACTGTGTATCTCCTATGTCTTCACATGATATCATGCTGTACCCATCTGCGTCCTAATTGTCTTTTCATGTAAAGGCACCAGTCATATTGGTTATCAGAGCCTACTTTAATGACCTTGTTTTAATTGAAGTATACCTATTTAAAAACATTATTTCCAAACACAGTCACATTCTGAGGTTCTGGCTGTTAGGATATCAACATTTAGATTTGGGGAGAACACTAGCCTACAATAGAGGGCTACGTCAGAGTTTGGCAATGATTACCAGATGTCTGTTCAATATCCATTATTTTCTTAGTAACAGAACCACAATTTTATTACAACAGGCAATATTCCTAGTTAAAGATTATAGTTTTATGGCTCTATTGTAGGTAAGTTTGGCAAAATATATATTAGAAATGTTACCTGCAAATTCCAATTGCCATTTGGAGAACAACTCTTTGCTTGAAGATGGAAGTCAGTTAAATATATTGTGCCTAAAAGATAAAAGTGTCCAAGGTCTCAACAAGTAGCTGTCATACTATCCCTGGAGAACTGATAACTTGAGATAAATTTGGTACAATTATTCTGAATATAGTAACTTAAAACAAATATTTATTTACTGCTCACAGGTTGGCTGGTGGACTGTACTTTCACTAATTTGAGCTGGGGGTCAGCTGGACTTCAGACTTTCAAGTCTACTCCAGGTGTCTTCATTCCAGGATCTGAGCTAAAGAATTAACAACTTCCTAGTATGTTTTCCTCTGACTGGGGACAGAGGACATGTATAGAGAGATGTGGAAATTTTCCAGACTTCTTTAAGACTTTTCTTGGAAGTAGCATAGTAGAATTTCCACTTATATTTTATTGGTCAAAGCAAGTCATATGGTTAAGTCCAAGTGATGAGGCACTGAAAAGTTAGAAACAAAGGAATGCAAAATTCTATTCCAGGGAGAGAGGAAAACATTCGGAACAAATATCCACAAATAATCCAACATTCCACAGTTGTTTAATACCCTGTTGTTTATAATAGATAAAAGAAATGTTTATTTTGTTTAAATTCCTATTATTCATTTGTTACTAGTAGCCTGGTACAATTTTAACTTATACCCAAAGCTACATACAGTCTTTTCAATTTCACTTGTTAATTCCTCTGTGTTAACAGGTTATTTTGTGCTGTACACTTTAACTTTCATAATTGTAATATTAATGTAAAGAAAAGCCTTTTTGAAACCCAAAACAAAATTTGAACTGTCTTGTAGATGCCAAAAAAGGGAGTTTCAACCAGACAAGAGTTTAGGAGAGTATTTTGATGGAAAGAAGATAGCAACCATAGGACTCGGTTGTAGACATCCAGAAGATGGTGCAAAACAGTAGCTGCATTTCAGCAGAAGCCCAATGGATGTGGAAAACAATGGCTTAACAGAGGTAACAGGCTGCCATGAGCTTCATAAAAACAAATTCATGACACTAATTGACTTATTTAATATGAGAAGAATCAAGATTTTCACACTCAAGTTGAGGACATACTTAAATTAGCCAACCAAATAAAGGTATGTAATACAACAATACCCTTTTTGGAAGCTAGGGAAGCAGTATTTTTTACTGGTAGAGATCAAAAAATTTTCCCTAAGTGAGTGTTGTATACTTTGTGAATGTGTGAATATATGAATGAGTCAGAGGGCAAGTCTTTAGGAATTTTCTTTGTAACTCTGAGTAAAACAGTAGTGTCAATATTCCCTTGGGTTAATGTAAGCAGATCTGCTATTAATACTAGGCAAAAAAAGGAAATAATTCTTGAACTTTCTCATATTTTATATATTATGGTAAATTATGCTGAATGAATTTTAAAAATTAGTAATTGTGAAATGTAAATTTAATTTTCTTAAAATATATCAGGACTATACTATAGTTTAAAATTCATGAAAAATTATAAGAAGTTTACATTTATTGACAAAAATTAAAACTATAGAACTCTTGAATCACCAAACCTAATTTCATACTTCGGCGATAATTCTGTGTGAACAGTATTTCCAAAGAGATGAATTAATGTATGTAGCCTATTAAAGTTCCTTGTGAGAGTGAGATAATTCTATAAATACATAAAGAAGTTTATAATTAAACAAAACAACTTTCATTATATATTGACACTGCATGATTAATAACTGCTTTCTAAATTTGTGATGCTTACTATATATACTTGTATTACATTTCAAATATTAACATAATTTTCTCAACATATATTTAAACATGTGTTTTCTATAAGATACATGCTAGATAGTGTAAGTCTCTACATGAAGCCGAAACTGTAGAACCTTCTCCTTTTAGGGAATTTATACTACAATTTTAGACTGCCTTCTGATGTTAATTTAAACTTATTTCAAATAGAATACTTAATTAGTAAAACAAATCCAACTCTACAGCATGTTTGGATGAAAAAACAATAAAGACTGCATCCAGAGAAAAAACACCCAATATAGAAAACAACAATTTTATATATCTTTCTCTACTTATATTCTTACCATTCTGTTTTATAATTCCAAGTTGGATCTATTTCTGTACTCAAAAACAGAATAGTATTTGCCACTCTTCAAAGACAGGATGCTTTTTTAGAAATTTGTGTCTTTTTTTCATATGGTTTTCTCTTTCCGTCTTCCACCTATTAAACATAGATAGCATTCAATACCTTGGTTAAGTATGATATTTTATGTGAAGCTTTCTGTGACCATAAAAGATCATTAAATTTCTTCCTCCTTTGAATTTTATATATTTGCGCATCTCATTTAATTCCTACAATAAACCTACTTCCTTTGATAGGCATAAACACCTTCCAATTTATTGATAAGAAAACAAAGTTATAGAAATCATAGACCTTTATCACTGTCATTGAACGACAACAACAAAAATATGTGTTAAAGGTTGCTTTTATTTAAGCCAGTGTCAATTAAAATTCTAGTTCTTTCTACTATCCTAAACTACAATGTTACTTCTCTCTCTCTCTCTCTCTCTGGCGGCCCTTATGACAAATGGATTGCCTTCCAATTCCATGTAAGTGTATCATTTTCAGTAAATTATCGATGTGTTTTCTGTGAGAAGAAAATATATTTTATAGTATCTATAGACCCAGCACTCAGCAATTTCCTGACACACAGTAGGTGCCAAATGAATATTTATTTATCTGACCTGGAAAAAGACTCTATTTGTCAAGACGTGCTCCCCTATTTAATTTATGGAAAAGTGTCTTTTGCATTTTTTGAAGATTTTCCAGGAAATAAATTGCTTTTGAATGCTCACATTATTCCATTTTGACACACTTGGAAAGATTATGAGAAGCCCTGTAACTAATATAATCAAAGTAGTATGACTTAAAGGATTCACTGACTTGCAGAGCTTGAGAAAGCATTTGGCAACCTTAACTTAGCTCACTGATAGGAACTAACACTTTTAATAGTTCTGTCAGAATGCCTAGATACTTCTCTGAGAGATGCTACAGGAATTTTTATACATCAACAGTAGTAGATATAAATTATTGTTGTTTCCTTCATGTCTTAATATGTGTAACTGATACTGATCTTCAGGGATTGTTATCAGTTGTATTTGACGGCCATTACCATGTATTTGGGAAATACAAAAAGAGCATCTTTAAGTACAGTGGAACACCACAGTGCATGGCATATCAAGTCATTTACACTTTTTTGGCAGCTTCCTGGAGTATAGCAATGTCGTTTCCTGCCATTAACAGATGGAGTCTCAATGTGAGAACTGCTACTGTAAAACCTGCAATATGTCAGGTTAAAGATTAAGTGAAATCAATGTTAGAGGGTGCTATCATCTTATATATTAAAATTGTACGTAATGTGCAGATTATAAGCTTCATGAATTTACTTATTTAAAAAATAAGATTTATGGCAAAAACTTCAATATAGATAAGTCACATTAGGGAAACAAACTTACGTCCCTGATGTGAGTGACAGATGCTATCAAAGCTGTACAACATCATGCTTCTCTGCTTTTCAAATTAAAGATGTACAAAACAAGAACAATTTTATGGGTTGCTGTTAAGGTTGATGAACCGAGAAGTTGACAGCTTTTAAAATGTTTTAAGTGTGTATAATTGTGTGCATTAACATCAAGAATTTCTCTTCCCGCTTTTTCCAGATAAATGGCTTCGTGTCAAACACATTGTTTCAACTTTCAAAAATTTAAAGGGCAAGTGGCTTGAAATATATGGGGCTAAGACACGTATTTTTGTCCTTAAGTTTAAATTCAAATATGTTTATAATTATGAAAATAATTTGATTGCCAAATTAGACTCAGTTCAGAGATTTTGCCCCTTATTTTAATGATTCAATAAATAAACAAAGGAGAAACAGGGAGAGGTCAGAGTGATTCCTTCCTTCACATATCAAACATAAGCTCTTTGGCCCTGAGCAATGTATGGGGCCTTTAGCAGGGGATACATGTTAGTTACTGTATAAATGGCAAAACAGCTCTACTTTGTATCCCAGACTTTGTAGACTTGGTATAGCTTATGTAATATGTTACCAAAAGTCATACCTCATCATTCCCTATATCCTAGGTTTGCTTTGCCTACGCAATGCTAAACCAAGGGTAGCCTGCTAAATGAATTTCCTAAAAATCCCTCTTCATCTAAAATATATTTTGCCTATTTATAGGAGATTGATCATTAGCAGCTTCGTAAAAAAAATTAGGTTGGGTTATCTGCTTTCATTCCTTTCAGGTAGCACCTTCCATCAGTTAATCAAGAAATAAATAAATTAAAGGCCATGTGTATTATCTTCTTCTCCAACCATTAGCAAGTCAGTGATCAGTTCTGTATAAATTCTGTGATCAGGTAAAAAAGAAAGCTACTACCTTTGATAAGGGATCACAAATGTATGTATTCAGCAAACAGAAGCAAGGAAATAAAAGTTATATTAAATCAGTTTTAATACCTATGTTTAATTAAATTTAAAAGAAATAAAATGGTTCTAGACCACATTAAGTATTTGGTAAGCTTATCAACATGCATGATATAAACATACTTATATAGAGTGATGTCACATTCTTATAAAATCATTATGATTTTCAAACAACAAAAAAACTGCAATTTATGGAGCAATTCTGGCAATTGAGTCAGATAGTCTGAGGAAATGATTCAAGGGAAAAAATTACTAAGTACCAGACAGGCACTTAATTTGTAGAAGCAATTAAAAAGTTAATCAGACCTCATCCTCTCATTCATATTACACAGACCTTGAAAATGTGCAATTTGCATTCCTTGTTGAATAGTAGTAAAGTGTTTGCATTTACCTTGCCAGTGTACAGAGCTGGCATCGTAGATAAGCAACCAGTGCAGTCACACAAAACCCCAATGTAGAAAGAGTTTAATGCTCTGTGGTTGCCATCTTGAAATTCACAATAATTTTATCTTTGAATGTGTGCTTTGTATGTGAAGTCAGATGAGACAATGAAGCATATGCTGGGGCTTGGAGTCTCGGTTCACACATGGCTATTCCACACTGCCTCCTTCCACTCCTGGGTCGGGTTCTCAGCTGCCTATTTCCTGACTTTTGGTGCTCCATGCAATGCCCATCAGCAGCCTGTGACTCTGCCACTCTCTGCCCCAATTGGAGTGTGGGTGTGGGCTTAGGGAAAGCTGGGACCATCTTGGTGGGGAGCAAGGGAGTATCTGGCAGCACCACCGCACATTCGTCAGAAGAATAGGTGGGAGCCTCTTGCCCACACCCACAACAGGTACCAATTGTGTTGTATAACACAATGTAATAATCACAGGAAGTAGTTGCCAAGCTGAAGGCTATCCTTCATAACAACAAAAAAATAACATTGGCTTTATCAAAACCTGAAAGCTTGCTTAAGAGACTTCAAAATTCTAAGATGTAGGCCTCAGAGGTGTTATCTAGCTAGTAATGATATCTGTGGAGTCCAGAGGAAGGGCTTAATAGAGATGAGATTCAGGTCAGGGCAAGGGCCATTGCTAGGGGGAAGCTTATAGGACTAGCAAGTAAACTGGAAGAAGTAAGTCATTTTTCCCTTTTTGGCCTTCAAGTCTCCATCTGAAGCCACCAAATAGCAAAATATAATGGGGAACCCTCTGTCAAAGGAGGAAGGTGATGTGAGCATTGGGGTGAACAAAACCTTCATCTCTAAACTATCTGTAGCCTCAGTGATCCTACCCACACTTGCATTGATAGCTGTAATGTTTCATTAACTTTTGCTAGTGGACATGGAAGTATTAACAGGTGACCTATGAATAGATTGCCCCATACCAAAGATATAGGAACAAACTAATTTCTCCATAATAATTAGGACCAGCTATACTAGCCCATATAGTAACCTCCTTCTTTGCCTTTGGCCAGTGATATAGGAGACTAAAACTAATAAGTGTGTCTCTTAACTTCAGGTTCAATGTATATCTTATAATTAGTGACATAAATGAGGCTTCAATGATCCATTGCGGGAATGTGGATATATGGCAAACCATTTGAATATCACAAATTTAAGCCCATTGATAAACTCTTTGTTCTGTTAAATAGTATGTAAATATTTAGATCTGAATGCTGTGTTAGTTTTCTTCTGTTTTTTTTTTTTTTGTAAATGGTCTAGATATAAATTTTATCAGCTGATGTCTTAATGTTAACAACATTTTGATTTTTATATTGTTGTGTTATTATAGTAGCTATGTATACCTTTTGACTGTGTATTTCTGTACTAGTCCATTCTTAACACTGCTATAAAGAACTAAGACTGGGTAATTTATGAAAAAAAAAAAAAAAAGAGGTTTAACTGACTCACAGTTCCACAGGCTTAACAGGAATCATGACTGGGAGGCCTCAGGAAACGTACAATCATGGCAGAAGGGAAAGAAGAAGCAATCACATCTTACCATGGTGGAGGAGGAGAGAGAGAGAGAATGGGGGGAAAGTGCCGCACATTTTAAACCATAAGATCTTGTGAGAATTCACTCACTATCACGAGAACTCACTCACTATCATGAGAAGAGCAAAGGAGAAATCTGCCCCCACGATCCAATCACCTCTCACCAGGCCCCTCCTCCAATTCAGCATGAGATTTTGGCAGGGACACAAATCCAAACCATATAAATTTCTTTCTCACTTTTAAATGTGTTGCATTTTTCTGAACCAGAAATAATGGGTATATAGGCCGAAGTTAAAGGTTTTGATAACTTTCTGTAGCTCTCACTTCATAGGTGCCTTTTTCAATTATGTTCTTAATTTTACAATTAATTTTACTTTCTGTAGAAACCTTAACTTCTACTACCTGCTTCTATTTTTCCCCTTTCTTCCTAGTTCCACTGGACATATTCTCCTTCCAAGCTGTATCACTCCCAAATGTAAAAGTTTGTTACTTCTGAGTCTAGTGTTTTTGTCCTGCATTGTTCCATACGTATGGTATTTTTGAGGAAATGTTAAGAGATTTGAAATCAGGCAACTGTCATAATTCTGTACGAACCCAAGCATTTCGGGTATTTTGAATCACACAAGACAGCATTATTTTTACTATTATTACTTAAGTTTTTGTCTTCAGTCAGCATTCACTAAGAGTTTTGCACATAATTGCCTGTTTGAGGATTTTAAGTTTCTTCAAAATTTTCATATTTCTATTTGGAATGCTTTATTTTCTACCTGAAGTAACAGCATTAGTATGACTATTGCAGGTCTATAGATGACGAATTCATATTTATTTGTCCAAAAGTGTCTTGAAATTTCACTTTGAGGAATATCTTTATTAAATTTAGATTTCTGGGTTGGAAGATATTTTTTCATCCTTTGAGATGGCAATTTCAGGGTCTCCTGAGCTCCATTGTTTCATTTGGAAAATTATTTCTTAAATTTAGCATTGTTCCTTTAAAATAATATTTCTGTCTAGCCTACATTTAGAATTTTATCTTTTTTTAATGTTCACATACTTCGGTATGACATGCTTAGATGTAGTTTCCTTTTTATTTATTATGACTCAGATTTTTAAAGATTGCTCTATCTCACGATTGACATTCTTTAATAGTTTGAGAAAATTTCAAACACAAGTTTTGTATTCTCTCAATTCTTATCTTCTAGAATTTCTTCTAGAACTATGTCAGC